>NC_000005.10:178168454-178318900 GCF_000001405.40 Homo sapiens
CTTACTCATAAATTCTTTCCCAAGGCTGATGTCCAGAATGGTGTTTCCTAGGTTTTCTTCTTGGATTCTTATAGTTTCAGGTCTTACATTTAAATCTTTAACCCATCTTGAGTTGTTGTTATTATTATTATTATTATTGAGAGAGAGTCTTGCTCTGTCGCCCAGGCTGGAGTGCAATGGCGCAATGTCAGCTCACTGCAACCTCTGCCTCCCGGGTTCAAGTGATTCTCCTGCCTCAGCCTCCCGAGTAGCTGGGATTACAGGCACACATCACCATGCCCGGCTAATTTTTTGTATTTTTTCGTAGAGACAGGGTTTCACCATGTTGGCCAGGCTGGTCTCGAACTCCTGACCTCAAGTGATCTGCCCACCTCAGCCTCCCAAAGTGTTGGGATTACAGGCATGAGCCACTGTGCCCAGCCTTGAGTTAATTTTTGTATATGGTGAAAGAAAGTTGGTCCAGTTTCGATCTTTGGCATATGGCTAGCCAGCTATCCCAGCACCATTTATTGAATAGGGAGTCCTTTCCCTATTGCTTGTTTTTGTTGACTTTGTCAAAGATCAGATGGCTGTAGGTGTGTGGCTTTATATCTAGGCTCTCAGTCCTGTTCCATTGGTCTATGTGTCTGTTTTTGTACCAGTACTGTGCTGTTTTGGTTACTGGAGCCTTATAGTATAGTTTGAAGCTGGGTAATGGGAAGCCTCCAGCTTTATTCTTTTTGCTTAGGATCGCTTTGGCTATTTGGGATCTTTTTTGGTTCCAGATGAATTTTTAAATAGTTTTTTTTTCTAGTTCTGTGGAAAACGACATTAGTAGCTTGATAGGAAGAGCACTGAATCTGTAGATTGCTTTGGGCAGTGTGACCATTTTAATGGTATTGATTCTTCCAATTCATGGGCATGGAATGTTTTCATTTGTTTGTGTCCTGTATGATTTCTTTCAGCAGTGTTTTGTAGTTCTCCCTGTAGAGATGTGCCTGCTTCCCCTTCGCCTTCTGCCATGATTATAAGTTTCCTGAGGCCTCCTCAGCCATGCTTACTGTACAGCCTGCAGAGCTGTGAGCCTATTGAATCTCTTGTCTTTATAAATTACCCAGTCTCAGATAGTACAGGGTGAGAACGGATTAATACAGAAAATATATGTTGAAATCCTAGCTACTTGAGAGGCTGAGATGGAAGGATTGCGTGAGTCTAGCAGTTCAAGGCTACAGTAAGCCATGATCACACCATTATGTAACTGAACAGAAGGTGAGTTGCTTGCCATATGCAGAGTCCAATTAACGAGATCAGGATCTGGTAGAAATAAGATGATTTATTCCAAAGCTAGCTTAGGGGAAGAGGCACAGGCATCCTGCCTTTAAATATGCCACTTCACCTTTGGAGCAGAAAGCAGGAACTTTTAAAAGGCATGGAAGGAAGTGAGCAAGGTAGGGGGTCCTTATCTGCCAGTAGTAGAGCTGGTGACTGCTGGCATCTTCATGGGCAGGCTGGTATCTCTCAAGGCAACCTCTTTAGGGTGAGAGTTTCTTAGCAGGAATGCTTCAGTTTGCAAATCAACTGTTAACTCTTGAGAGTTCCATCTTGGAGTCCAGTTAGATAAACTTGCCCGTAGGGAGACTGGTGAAAGGGAGGTAGAAGGCTATATTTGTGGGTTTTTTTGTTTTGCTTTGTTTTGTTTTTGAGATGGAGTCTCCCTCTGTCACCCAGGCTGGAGTGCAGTGGCACAATCTTGGCTCACTGCAACCTCCGCCTCCCAGGCTCAAGCGATTCTCCTGCCTCAGCCTCCTGAGTAGCTAGGATTACAGGCGCCAACCACCACGCCCGGCTACTTTTTGTATTTTTAGTAGAGACGGGGTTTCACCATATTGTCCAGGCTGGTCTGGAACTCCTGACCTCAAGCGATCTGCCTGCTTTGGCCTCCCAAAGTGCTGGGATTACAGGTGTGAGTCACTGCACCCAGCCTATATTTCCATTTCTAAAAGGCTAAGTAGAAAGTGGGCAACCGGGGGAAAGACAAAAGAAGAGAGAGGAAAAATTAAACTACCCACTAGAAAAATGGGGGTACTCAGTTACATTTCCCCACTGACAAATTCCATTCCATTTCTATGGGATCTGGGCACCATATTCATTCTGGCTACTTCCTGCTGAGAGGGAGCATAGCCTTTGGGCATCAGAATGGAACTGATGTATTTGGAGTTGTAAATATTCATGAGTACTTGGGCTTGCAGATGATGTTTGTTGGAGCAATATAGTGCGAGGTCTTGAGAGCCTCTGAGAGAATGCCTGTCTTGCATTCCTATACAGGGGGTGCAACAGCAGTGGACCCTACAACAGAGGGATATGCCCATCTCTGCAATCAGGGCCAATGTTACAAGCAGCTTTGCCACCAGGATGGTTCTGACCTGGACCAGGATGCTAACCGCTGGTCTAGCAACAGTGTGGGGTCAGACACACCTTTGATTTGTTGGTGCATGTTTCACATGGCTATCGAGGCACTTCCTGAATTCTTAATTATCATGCAGGTTCACCACTGCCAATTGTAAGTGGATATGATGACAGATTGGTTGGGTATATATATTTGACAGGCTACAAAAAGAGCTATGAATCCTCATGAAAGTGTCTCGTTTTTGAGAAAGTATCAGCTTAAATAGCTGTGTCTCATCCAGAAGGTGGCATTGGAGATGGGCTAGGCCTCTGCATGTGATGAAGGCAAACAGATTTTTAATAGGAGGTGTTTCCATGGAAACAGAAGAAAAACAAAGGTTAATGTTGGGCAGTTTATCCAGATGTTAGGCTCAAAGCATCCTTAATTACAGAGGAGGAAGGCAGTGGCAGTCTGACCCGTTTTTCTCACCTGTATTGCAAAGAATAATATAGTAGGAATTTCACTGAGTCCAACTCAGAAAAATGGAAGAAAAATTTAGAAGGATTAATTTGGGATTGTATCCTGGGAAGAATTCAGGATTTAGTCCAAATTGCAGAAAATAATAAAAGCTCAAAAACAGTAGACAAGACTAGAATCTAACAACAGGTATACTATAGTTTTTTCTGAAACATAATTTTTCTCTCTCCAGTTCCCATTTTTACTAAAGACAAATCATAGTAGGACAAATTTATTTGAAAAATAACTTTTAGGGCCGGGCGTGGTGGCTCACGCCTGTAATCCCAGCACTTTGGGAGGCTGAGGTGGGTGGATCACGAGGTCAGCAGATCGAGACCATCCTGGCTAACGCAGTGAAACCCTGTCTCTACTAAAAATACAAAAAATTAGCCAGGAGTGGTGGCAGGCACCTGTAGTCCCAGTTACTCGGGAGGCTGAGGCAGGAGAATGGCGTGAACCTGGGAGGCGGAGCTTGCAGTGAGCAGAGATCGCGTCACTGCACTCCAGCCTGGGTGACAGAGCAAGACTGTCTCCAAGAAAAAAAAAAAAAGAAAAAGAAAAAGAAAAAGAAGTTTTAGTCTTACAATACTTGGCCCGAGTATTTGCATAAAGTATAGCAAGAATAATTATTTGTCACATCGGCTTTTTTAAAAATTGGCTTTACTGGAACTTTGTTTTATAAGGAATCTCAGATTAAGACTTTTTAAAGCCTTGAGTCCAGCCATGAATTTATCTGTGCCTGCAAATGCTATAGGAACTGGGTGAATTCCTCTCCTCAAGGTCCCAAGATAACTTGGGGTTCCTGGGCCTGTCAGAAAGTGACACTCTTGGCCAGGCACGGTGGCTCACGCCTGTAATCAGAGAACTTTGGGAAGCCAAGGCGGGTGGATCACGATGTCAGGAGTTCGACATCAGCCTGGCCAAGATAGTGAAACCCCATCTCTGCTAAAAATACAAAAATTAGCCAGGCATGGTGGCGTGAGCCTGTAGTCCCAGCTACTTGGGAGGCTGAGGCAGGAGAATCGCTTGAACCTGGGAGGCAGAGGTTGCGGTGAGCCGAGATCGCGCCATTGCACTCCAGCTGGGCCAACAGAGCGAGACTCCATCTCAAAAAACAAAAAAAAAAAAAAAGAGAAAAAACAGATTTGTATTGACCTTATGCAAATAACTATACTGCCATAAATTAAGTATACTTACAAATACTGACACCTAGCCAACCCCATGTTGGTCTTGAACTCGTGAGCTCAAGTGATCTGCCTACCTCGGCCTCCCAAATGCTGGCATTATAGGTGTAAGCCCCTACACCCAGCCTAGGTTTAAGCACTTGATATTACAAAATAGAATCCCAGGTCATTATAAGTAAAAGGGAAACATCTTTAATCACTGACAGAGGGAATACTCAGTTCTGAATGGGACCCAGTAAAGACAGCATGAGGCCAGCTGAATCTGTCTTTTTTCTCTTCCCCCCTTTTTTTGGTCATTTATTCAAAAGGCAAACAAAAATCTTTCATTATCTTTTTTTTTTTTTTTTTTTTGAGACAGAATCTCACTCTGTCACCTAGGCTGGCATGCAGTCACACGATCTTGGCTCACTGCAACCTCCATCTCCTGGGTTCAAGTGATTCTCCTGCCTCAGCTTCCCAAGTAGCTGGGATTACAAGTATGCACCATTACACCTGGCGAATTTTTGTATTTTTACTCGAGACAAGGTTTTGCCATGTTGGCCAGGCTAGTCTTGAACTTCTGGCCTCAAGTGATCCACCCACCTTGGCCTCCTAAAGTGCTGGGATTACAGGCGTGAGCCACCATATACAGCCAAAAATCTTTTATTATCTTTTAATATTACACTAAAATCTTGTTCAAAAGAGAAAGCCAAATTTCACCTTTGCATTAGCGTACTATTAATGTTAAACCTGATTCTTTTGTTTTGTTTTTTTTTGAGATGAAGTCTCACTTTTGTCCCCCAGGCTGGAGTGCAATGGCGTGATCTCGGCTCACTGCAACCTCCGCCTCCCGGGTTCAAGTGATTCTCCTGCCTCAGCCTCCCAAGTAGCTAGGATTACAGGCGCCTGCCACCACACCTGGTTAATTTTTGTATTTTTAGTAGAGAAGGGGTTTCACCATGTTGGCCAGGCTGGTCTCGAACTCCTGACCTCAGGTGATCCACCTGCCTCAGCCTCCCAAAGTGTTGTTATTACAGGTGTGAGCCACCACGCCTGGCTAAACCTGATTTTTTTTTTTGAGACGGAGTCTCACTCTGTCACCCAGGCTGGAGTGCAGCAGCGTGGTCTCAGCTCACTGCAAGCTCCGCCTCCCGGGTTCACGTCATTCTCCTGCCTCAGCCTCCTGAGTAGCTGGGACTACAGGCGCTCACCACCAAGTCTGGCTAATGTTTTTTGTATTTTTAGTAGAGACGGGGTTTCACTGTGTTAGCCAAGATGGTCTGGATCTCCTGACTTCATGATCCACCCGCCTTGGCTTCCCAAAGTGCTGGGATTACAGGCGTGAGCCACCATGCCCAGCCCTGTAAACCTGATTCTTAATAAAACCTTATAGACAAATCTATCCAATCCTAATTAGTTTGACCGTAATGTAACATTTCCATAAGCCTTTTATAGCCCTTTACAAGTTTCTGTTAAACAGCAGCTCAATTCAAGAACACCTTGTTATTCAGACACATGGGCCCAGTTTTGGCCCTGCATCAATATACTCTTTTTTTTTTTTTTTTTTTTTTTTTTTTTTTTTTTTTTAGACGGAGTCTCGCTCTGTCACCCAGGCTGGAATGCAATGGTGCCATCTTGGTTCACTGCAACCTCTGCCTCCTGGGTTCAAGTGATTTTCCTGCCTCAGCCTCCCGAGTAGCTGGGATTACAGGCACCTGCCACCATACCATTTTTAGTAGAGACGGGGTTTCATTCTGTTGGCCAGGCTGGTTTCGAACCCTGATCTCAAGTGATCCGCCCACCTCGGCCTCCCAAAGTGCTGGGATTACAGTCATGAGCCACCATATCTGACCAATGTACTTTTATTTCAATATTCAACCTACAGAAAAACAAAATAATCTCCTCAAAATCTTAGCCAGCTTGCTCAAACCCACAGAATTTTCTTTACAAGATCAATCCTTCAGAAATCCTTTACGACTTATCTAAATCTTCAATTTTGTCCCATTACTCTTTTAGATTAGACAATCCTTAAGAACTTCTGAATTAGACAAAATCATATTCCCTTGAACAAAAAATATATTTTCATATCTTACAATCTTTTACCAAAAACACATTCTACCTTCCTTATGCACCTTGCGTGTAAAACCTGTTTCTCTGGTAGTCTCAAGTATGTGTTACAATGTGAACTCTCAGCAGCTTTTACTTTTTGATGAAAATCCTCGTAGGTAAGCAATGTGAACCATGTATCAGGTTGTATATTAAAAGTCATAGAAGCAGTTTATGGCCTTAAAAGTATCTAGCAGATAGTACCTGGCCTGCCTAATTTAGACCAAATGTATACATTTATTTTTTATTTTTTATTTTTTTGAGACAAAGTTTCACTCTTGTTGCCCAGGCTGGAGTGCAATGGCGTGATCTCGGCTCACCGCAACCTCCGCCTCCCAGATTCAAGTGATTCTCCTGCCTCAGCCTCCCGAGTAGCTGGGATTACAGGCATGCGCCACCACACCCGGCTAATTATGTATTTTTAGTAGAAACCGGGTTTCTCCATGTTTGTCAGGCTGGTCTGAAACTCCTGACCTCAGGTGATCCCCTCGCCTCGGCCTCCCAAAGTGCTGGGATTGCAGGCATGAGCCACTGTGCCTGGCTTTTTTTTTTTTGAGACAGAGTTTTGCTCTGTCACCCAGCCTGGAGTGCAGTGGCACGATCTCGGCTCACTGCAACCTCCACCTCGCAGGTTCAAGCAATTCTTCTGGCTTAGCCTCCTGTAGCTGAGTAGCTGGGATTATAGGTATGTGCCACCATGTCTGGCTAATTTTTGCATTTTTAGTAGAGACAAGGTTTCACTATGTTGGTCAGGCTGGTCTCGAACTCCTGACCTCAGGTGATCCACCCACCTTGGCCTCCCAAAGTGCTGGGATTACAGGCATGAGCCACTGTGTCTGGCCCAAATGTATAAATTTTGAAGATGTTTTTATTTTACTTTATCAAGAATCTTTAAACACATGACCTAAAAGGTATTAATGTTTCTATCTTACTTTTTTTTTTTGAGACGGAGTCTCTGTCGCCCAGGGTGGAGTGCAGTGGTGCGATCTTGGCTCACTGCAAGCTCTGCTTCCCAGGCTCAAGTGATTCTCCTGCCTCAGCCTCCCCACTAACTAGGATTACAGACGCCTGCCATCACACCCGGCTAATTTTTGTATTTTTAGTAGAGATGGGGTTTCACCCTATTGGCCAGGCTGGTCTCCAACTCCTGACCACAAGTGATCCACCTGCCTTGGCCTCCCAAAGTACTGGGATTACAGACATGAGCCACCACGCCCAGCCTAAAGTTTCTATTTTTCTGACAACATATGTTTGACTTAAGTGATATTATTATTATTATTATTATTATTTTTGAAATGGAGTTTGGCTGTGTCGCCCAGGCTGGAGTGCAGTGGCATGATCTTGGCTCACTGCAACCTCCGCCTCCTGGATTCAAGCAATTCTCCTCTCTCAGCCTCTCAAGTAGCTGGGATTACAGGTGCCCACCACCACGCCCAGTTAATTGTTGCATTTCTAGTAGAGACGGGGTTTCGCCATGTTGGCCAGGCTGCTCTTGAGCTCCTGACCTCAGGTAATCCACCTACCTCGGCCTCCCAAAGTGCTGGAATTACAGGCATGAGCCACCATGGCTGGCCTAGCTGTTTTATTCTTTTTATTTTCCTTTTTTTTAGAGAAGGGGTCTCACTATGTTGCCCAGGCTGGTCTTGAACTCCTGGGCTCAAGTGAGCCTCCCACCTTGGCCTCCCAAAGTGTTGAGATTACAGGCAGGAGCCCAGCCTGTTTTTATTAAATGTCTTATTTATCAAAAATTTCACAAAGATCATTCTGTTTGGATCAAAATTTTGCATTATAGTTTTATAACTCTTATGCAAACTTTTTTTTTTTTTAGATGGAGTCTCACTCTGTTGCCCAGGCTGGAGTGTAGTGGTGCGATCTCGGCTCACTGCAAGCTCTGCCTCCCAGGTTCACGCCATTCACCTGCCTCGCGCTCCCGAGTAGCTGGGACTACAGGCGCCCGCCACCACGCCCGGCTAATTTTTTGTATTTTCAGTAGACACGGGGTTTCACCATGTTAGCCAGGACGGTCTCGATCCACCCGCCTCAGCCTCCCAAAGTGCTGGGATTACAGGCGTGAGCCACCGCGCCTGGCTTTATGCAAAATTTTTACACCTAATAACATCTGGCAGAGATCAACATGAAACCACTTGATCAATGAATCCAAACGAAAATGTATGTTGACAATTCTTAAGACATTTCTAATATTATTTTGCCAATAATTTTAAGGCCAGCTTATTTTTTAAAGACTTTACTTAATTTATGAGTACTTCTTAACTTTAAGCCAATTTGGCACCTTGTGGCCACAACACGAAACAAAATGCCTGTACATACACACAAACACACACATACACACTCATATAAAGCAGGCAGAAAACAAAATAGAGGAAGATAGAGCCTGGCTGGCTTCCACATAGGAGCCAGGTTTTACAAGTGGGGTGAGAGAAAGAAAGGAGGGGAAGGAAAAAAGATAAAGCAACCGAAAGGAAACGCTCCAGCCACTGTAGAATGTGGGGTCGCTATCCACACTGTTATTGTTTGTTGAAGAAGGGATCACGGCCCACAGACAAAGTCATACATTCATACGTGCAAACAAACAGCGCACTTCCAAAGGAGTCCAATCAGAGGGGCTGGGTGGGGTCTTCAATTTCCCTCCGCAGTTCCAAATGACTCCGCGGACTGCTGAGTCCCATCCGAGTAGAGCTCTCTTGGCGCCCCACATGCAGACGAACGCAAATGCTCAAATGTTATCACTAACAGCCAAATCTTTCTTTTTTATTTTTTTTGAGATGGAGTTCCGCTCTTGTTGCCCAGGCTGGAGTGCAGTGGCATGATCTTGGCTCACTGCAACCTCCGCCTCCCAGGTTCAAGCGATTCTCTGGCCTCAGCCTCCCAAGTAGCTGGAATCACAGGCGCCCACCACCACGTCTGGCTAATTTTTGTATTTTTAGTAGACGCGGGGTTTTGCCATATTGGCCAGGCTGGTCTCGAACTGCTGACCTTAGGTGATCTGCCCGCCTTGGCCTCCCAAAGTGCTGGGATTTCAGGTGTGAGCCACTGCGCCCCGCCCAGCCAAATCGTAAGTAGAGCAGTGACACCCAAAACAAGGCAGAGGGCAGTCAGGTGCACTCCAACCAACTTAACCAGCTCCTAATGATGGTGGCTTCCCCCCAACCCCACAAAAAAGGTGAACAAAGAAAGTTCACTTTCTTTGAACCAGGGGAGCACTGAAGGCAGCCAACATTGTGCCAGGAGGCAAAAGGGAGGTTTCCCAAAAACAAAAGCATTTTTGGCCGCTTCTGAGAAGTTCCTTAACATCCCCATCATGGGGTCTGCTAGCCACGAGCGGCTGGTGCTCACAGGTGACCCTAGGCCTCACCTAGTAGTGAAAGCAGGTGGTCAAGCACAGGCCTACCCGGAGCGCACAGCACTTCCCAGTCTGGGCCACCAGAACTGTAACCCAATAGCAGGTGAGTTAGTTGCTTGCTGCGTGCAGAGTTCAATTAGCAAAAGTGAGGTCTGATAGAAAGAAAGTAATGTATTATGAAGCTAGTTTAGGGGAAAAGGCACCACAAGCATCCTGCCTTTAAATGTGCCACTTGGCCTTTGGAGCAAAAAGCAGGCACTTTTAAAAAGCAAGGGAGAAAGTGAGCAAGGTCGGGGGGTCTCTGTGTTAACTTGGTGCCTTACCTACTGGGCCATTGTGCTGGTGACTGCTGGCATCTTTGTGGGCAAGCTGGTGGTCTCTCAGGCAGCCTGCTATAGGGTGAGAGTTCCTTAGCCGGCATGCTTCAGTTTGCAAATCAACTGTTAACCCTTGGTTTGTTCTGTCTTGGAGCCCATAGTTAGATACACTTTCCCTGGGAGGAGTCTGGTGACGGGGAGGTAGAAGGCTATATTTGTATTTCTAAAAGGCTAAGTAGGAAACGGGGAATGGGGGCAACAAGAAAAGAAGAGAGAAAAAATAATTAAATCCTTCCTTAGATAGAGGTACTCAGTTACAACTGCACTCCAGCCTGGGTGACAGAGTGAGACCCTGTCTCTAAAATTGTTTTCAATGAAGTATGGCAATGTGTGCTTGTAGTCCTGGCTACTCAGGGAGGCAAGATGGGAGGATTCCTTGTGCCCAGGAGTTCGAATCCAGCCTGGGCAACATATGGAGACCCTGTCTCCAAAACAAAACACAGAAAGAAAAAGAAAAAAGACGATGGCTCACGCCTGTAATCCCAGCACTTTGGGAGGCCGAGGTGGGTGGATCACCTGAAGTCAGGAGTTTGAGACCAGCCTGGCCAACATGGTGAAACCCTGTCTCTACTAAAAATACAAAAATTAGCCAGGCGTGGTGGCGCACGCCTGTAATCCTAGCTACTTGGGAGGCTGAGGCACAAGAATCACTTGAACCCCGGAGGCGGAGGTTGCAGTGAGCCAAGATTGTGCCACTGCACTCCAGCCTGGGTGACAGAGCGAGACTTTGTCTCAAAAAAAAAAAAAAAAAAAAAAAAAGGCCGGGAGCGGTGGCTCACGCCTGTAATCCCAGCACTTTGGGAGGCTGAGGCAGGCAGATCAAGAGGTCAGGAGATCGAGACCATTCTGGCTAACATGGTGAAACCCTGTCTCTACTAAAAATACAAAAAAATTAGCCAGGTGTGGTGGCAGATGCCTGTAGTCCCAGCTACTTAGGAGGCTGAGGCAGGAGAATGGCGTGAACCTGGGAAGCAGAGCTTGCAGTGAGCCGAGATCGTGCCACTGCATTCCAGCCTGGGCAACAGAGAGAGACTCTGTCTCAAAAAAAAAAAAGTTGAAATTTATCAACTGCCTTGTTAGTAGGTATTGATAAGACTGGTATCTTTTCTCATTTTATCTATTTATGTAATGAATTATATTGAGTTTCTAATATTAAACCATCCTTGCCTTTCTGGAATAAGTCCACTTGAATATCATTTTAAATTATATTTAAGTGCTATTGGATTGTTGTTGAGATATAGGAAAAGCCAAAGTGTTATTCCTAGTCTCTCACTCAACAGTCAATACACCTGTGACCCCAGATGTGTGTATTTTCCCTCTACACAGCAAGCAAGCAATTCTCTGTCAGACACCTGCTGTGTGTCCTCTAATTCAGTTTAACTCTAACACTATTTACCTGACGTTAGTGTCAGATCCCACACATTGAGGGCTCAGTCCCACAAGACTGTCCCCCACTTCAGATGTCAGTTGCAAGTCCAGACCTTTGGAACTTCTGACCAATTGGCTATACATTGGGGTTCCCATGACCCCTCCTCAGGTTTTATTAATTTGCTAGAGAAGCTCCCAGAACTCAGGCAAACACTTACATTTACCCATTTACTATAAAGGATATCACACAGGCCAGACAGAAGAGATGCATAGAGCGAGGTATGGAGAAAGGAGTGTGCCACCCTGCAGGAACCTCCACGTGTTCGGCTAGCTGGGAGCCCCCTGAATCCCGTTTTTTGGGGTTTTAATGGAGGCATGATTGATTAAATCACTGGCCACTGGTGATCAGCTTAACCTTCAGCCCCTCTCCCTTCCTGGGAGGTTGGGGGCGGGGCAGGGGCGGGGTAGGGGTGGGGCGTGGAGCTGAAAATCCTAGTCCTCTAAATGTGCCTTGGTCTTTCCAGTGACCTGCCCACCTCCTGAAGCTACCTAGGGGTCCCCCAGCCAGCAGTCATCTCATTAGCATATCAAAGACACTCTTACCTCTCTGGAGATTCCTCAGGTTTTAAGAACAATGTATCAGGAAGTGGAGAGGAAGACTATTTGTGGAGCTCAGGGGAAAAGACCAGATTAGAGAAAGAGATTTGAATCATTTTCATAAAGGTGGGATTTCATGCCAGGAAACTGGATGAGCTCACCTAGGGGCAGAATGTAGACAGAGAAGGCAGAAGACCCAGGACCCAGCACTATTTCAAGGTTCATCCTCTGGGGGCATGCCAGCAGCTGTGCCAACAGGAAAAGGCTACCTGGGGGTCAGGCATGTTCAACATGAAGGCTCCATCTTCCCTTTTCTTCGTCAACCACGTGTACAGTAAGGAGCAGACAACATGGTGCTCTCCAGGTAGGAAGCTCATTTGCATAATAAAACATTATGGGTGGACACTAAACGTCACACCTGGTCCAGCCAATCTTTGGGCCCTATGTAAATCAGACACCACCTCCTCAAGCTCGTGTATGAAACCCGGTGCATTTCACCACTAACCAGAAGAGCCACTCAGCGGCCCCTGTCTCTCTGCAGGAGAGAACTATTCTTCTTTCTCTTTCTTTTGCCTATTAAACCTCCACGCTGTTTCTTTGTTTTTGTTTTTGTTTTTGTTTTTGTTTTTTGAGACAGAGTCTCACTCTGTCACCCAGGCTGGAGTGCAATGGAGCAATTTTGGCTCACTGCAACCTCCACTTCCCGGGGTCAAGCAATTCTCCAGCCTCAGCCTCCCAAGTAGCTGGGATTACAGGTGCCCACCACCATGCCCGGCTAATTTTTTGTATTTTTAGTAGAGACAGGGTTTCACCATGTTGGTCAGGCTGGTCTCGAACTCCTGACCTTGGATGATCTACCCACCTCAGTCTGTCAAAGTGCAAAGTGTTGAGGTTATAGGTGCGAGCCACTGCGCTTGCTTGAACGTCTACACTTAAACTCAAAAAAAAAAAAAAAAAAAAGGTTCATCCTCTGAGGGGGAACCAGCAAAAAAATATACGTATATAGAAAATTCCTTGGTAATGAAGAGGAAAGAGACCCTAATACATGCTGCAGTGTAGCTGACCTTGAAAACACTACGGCAAGTGAAAGAAGCTAGACACAAAAGGCCACATATTATATGATTCCATTTATGTAAAATTTTTAGGCTGAGTGCGGTAGCTCATGCCTGTTATCCCAGCACTTTGGGAAGTGAAGGTGGGAGGATCACTTGCGCCCAGGAGTTCAAGACCAGCCTCAGCAACACCACCATCTCTACAAAAAAAAAAAAAAAAAAAAAAAAAAAAAAGCTGGGCATGATGGCATGCATCTGTAGTCCTAGCTACTTGAGAGGCTGAGGAGGGAGGATTGCTTGAGCCTGGGAGGTCAAGGCTGCAGTGAGTTGTGATTCTGCCACTACACTCCAGCCTGGGCAACAGAGCGAGATCCTGTCTCAAAAAACATTTTTTGGCCGGGTGCTGTGGCTTGTGCCTGTAATCCCGGCCCTTTGGGAGGCCGAGGCAGCAGATCACCTGAGGTCAGGAGTTTGAGACCAGCCTGACCAACATGGTGAAACCCCGTCTCTACTAAAAACACAAAAATTAGCCAGACATGGTGGCAGGTGCCTGTAATCCCAGCTACTTGGGAAGCTAAGGCAGGAGAATCGATTGAACCCCGGAGGCAGAGGTTGCAGTGAGCTGAGATGGCGCCACTGCACTCCAGCCTGGATGACAGCACAAGACTCCATCTCAAAAACAAAAACCATTTTTTAATATAAAATTTCCAGAATAGGCAAATCTATAGAGACAAAATAGACGAATGGTTGCCTAGGGCTCGGGGGAGTGTAGAGATGGGGAATGACTGATAACGAGTAAAGGATTTATTTTGTATGTGATGCAAGCACTCTAAACCTGTGAGGTGATGACTGCCCAGCTTCAAATATGCTAAAACAATGGAATCGTGAACCCTAAGTGAATTTTGTGGTATGTTAATTATGTCTCAGTAAAAACGTGGGGGACAAAAACAGAAGAAATGGCTAGAATGTAGAAAGATAATCTAGTGACTGTGGCATCCAAAGCTGCTTCCACCCTAGTGTGGAGTCCTGATAGGGAAGCCACACTGAGGAAGGGGTCCCAGGTGCGGGGGAACAACTGTTCCAAGAGACAGCTAATCACAGACAGCCTGCTGGCACAACATCCTGTTTCCAAATACCTTGCTCCTCATGTAGCCCCAGAAGTACAACTTCCTTCTGCACGTAGCTTCCTCCAGCATGACCCTATAAAACTTCCCTCCAGCCCTGCCTCTTTGCAGAGAGCCCCTTCTCTGCTGTGCTGCCCATTGTAACCTTGCAATGTATCTTTGAACTTTCTCAAATAAATCTGCCATTCTTTACCTATGACTGTCTCAGTAAATTCCTTTACTGCCTGTGACACCAGCCCCAGCCAGTTGCACCTGGTCAGGGTGCACTGGTCCCACCCATGAGAGGCCAGTTTTCACTTTTTTGGCAAAATGGAGAAACATTAATTGGGGCCAAGAGTGCCTGTTGGAAACTCATTTCTTGACTAGCATTCTTATAAAAACAATTGTTTTTTAAAGACAGGGCCTCCCTCTGTCACCCAGGCTGGAGTGCAGTGGTGCAATCACAGATCCCTACAGCTTCAAACTCCTGGGCTCAAGTGATTCTCCTCCTGAGTAGCTGGGACTACAGGTATGTGCCACCATGCCCAGGTAATTTTACAAAAATTTTTTTTTCATAAACCATAGTTTATACAATATCTTAGCTTACACTATTAACACTTTATTGAAAATATTTCTTTTTTTATTTTTTTATTATCTTTTTTTTTGAGATGGAGTCTTGCTCTGTTGCCCAGGCTGGAGTGCAGTGGTGCGATCTCGGCTCACTGCAAGCTCCACCTCCCGGGTTCACGCCATTCTCCTGCCTCAGCCTCCCGAGTAGCTGGGACTACAGGCACCCGCCACCACGCCCGGCTAATTTTTTTTGTATTTTTAGTAGAGATGGGGTTTCACCGTGTTAGCCAGGATGGTCTTGATCTCCTGACTTTGTGATCCGCCTGCCTTGGCCTCCCAAAGTGCTGGGATTATAGGTGTGAGCCAGCGCGCCCGGCCTATTGAAAATATTTCTGCTGAAAAGAATATACTATGCAAACACATAAAAGTGTTTGGTAAGAAAACAAAAGCACATGTTTACTACCAGTGTGAATTACTAGCTGACAATGATCAACTTCTCAAATAAGAACATTAACCTACTCGTGATTGAAGAAAGAATTATCCTGTCTATGGGTGACATAAGCAACGTGGCCAGGACAGAACCAGTGGATGAAACCACATATCATTCCAATTTGGCCAGTTAACTTATGTAAGTGTAATGAAACAGTTAACTTTATTCATTAATATACTCAAACATTATCTTTCCTTCCAAGATTTGCAAAAATTTAATTATCCAAATAATTTAAGTTTGGTATTTCTATATTTTTCAATACATAAAGGGTCAGGAACCTCTTATACGGTAATGAGATGGAAAGAAAACAACAGCTTCCCGTGAAAGAGGCCTAATATAGTCAAATACAAAAATAAGTAACGTAACCTCTTTTTTTTTTTTTTTTTTTTTTTTGAGACGGAATCTCACTCTGTCATCTAGGTTGGAGTGCAGTGGTGCGATCTCCGCTCACTGCAACCTCTGCCTCCCGGGTTCAAGTGATTCTCCTGCCTCAGCCTCCCAAGTAGCTGAGATTACAGGTGTGTGCCACCAGGCCCGGCTTATTTTTATTTTGTATTTTTAGTAGAGATGGGGTTTTACCATGTTGCTCATAGCTGATCTTAAACTCCTCAAATGATCCGCCTGCCTCGGCCTCCCAAAGTGCTGTGCTTACATGTGTGAGCCACCATGCCCGGCTGACGCCCAGCTGAAATGTAACCTCTTGATAACAGCCAAATCACTGTATTAGAAACATTTAAATTCCAGCTCTGGGGGTCAAGGGTGAGGCATTTAAAAGGTTCCTTTAAGTTAAACCAAGTAGATGAATTTTAAAAGAAAAAGCAATTTATGAACCTATGGACATATCATTAAGAAAGAAAAAAAATTATTAGTAAATTCCAAAAGTTAAAAGGAGTTGGAAAAAAATCTAACTAGAAAGAAAAAAAATGTTGGTTTCAATTAAGGGGGGTTTTTTGGTCCATTTCATATAAGAGCTTACTTAATCTTTTTCCAAATGCGCATTTATTATTTGCACAGATACATACAAATTATTCCCATTTTAAAAGCCAGAATAAAAATATACATTAACCACAGAAGTACTTACTCTAACTGGAAAGAAAATGAACATGGCTCTATTCAAAACAGCAGTAAACACAAAAGGTCAACATATATAAATCATGACAAGTGTACATCTTATTTTTGACAAAAATAAGTTCCATTTTTACATTAATGCGTCATCAGCTTCTATGTTAGATCCTCTGACCTTATTTACATTTACTATGAAATTGCTGTTAGCATGTCACTCAAAGCCACTCATCTCAGAGGGTATCAAGTCCTGAGCTTAAGTAGGAAACAAAACTCCCAACTAAAATTTGAACATAAATAATTGTAAAGATCAGAGAATATTAAAATATTTAAAAGTATAATATCTGGTACATAAATAACTCAAAAACTAATAATAAAGGTGTACAGACTGTCAAAGAAAAGACCATGTAAGACAAGAAATATCCCTGGAATCAAACTGATTTTTCACGCATTCAAGATCATTTGAAGGTGTGAAGCTAACTTTCATTGTTCTTAAAATCCTAGGAAAGCCAAATTTTAAAAAATAGCATATGACAATGCTTAAGTTTAAAAAAAGTTTCTCAGCTTAGTCTCCAAACCAGGAAGAAAGTATTTAATGATTAAAAACAAGTATGAACTGGAAAGATATTAGACTAAAAGGAGGAATCATAATGAGCAGGTAAAAATATTAAAGGAAAGCTTTAAATGCCCCAGCTCAAAAGAGCATTTCTAATTGGCCATCCAAATTATTCTTTTAGATTATTTTAGCCAAATAAAAATAAATTTACAGATGGATAACTGAGGTCCACTAACATAAGGTAGAAACAAAGTTTAAGCTAAAAATTAAATCTATATTTTGTTGCAGATAAATGTGAGATTTACCTACAGTCATTTTCTGCTGATGCTGAATTAAAAGCATGAGTTGACATCGTACTGACAGAAATGGTTTGACAGATATTTTCTTGGCTTTAAAATGATTTTTTTTGTATATGCATAGAAATGCAATGAGGATAAGAATAGTCTTCTGTATTGTCCGTACAGTTCATAAGGCCTTTGTCATTGTTAGTCAACTTAGATGTGAATATCAGTAGGGCCATTAAATTAAAGCTGGCCTGAAAGTTTTCAAAGTGCTACTGTTTCCAACTGATGAGATCTTCAGTTTTCTGGATTTTCTGGGTGACGATTATTTTCAATTCCTTTTTCTGGTGATATATACAAGAAGTTACAGCAGATATATAAAGGGAAGGTCAGAAACCTGCTGTCCAAGTTCATCACCACTTGTTCCTGATCCTTTTTAAGTATAAGTATTTGATAGCCAGTTGTTCTACTACATACTAGTTTTCCACTACTATCAAAAGAAGCCAAGCGTAATCTAAATGCTATGCTCCTTCGAGGCCGTAAACTGACAGACCCGCTGCGTGGCTGATTCAGTGTATTGCGTTTGAAAATGATGTATCCATTGGTGTAAATTACAAGTAGGTCAAAGCCGAAGTTAAAACCCGTCCAACACCAGTAGTATTCACCATCTTTGGCAAGCTTTCTACCACACCTCATGCTATTTCCCTCTAGGTCTTCTTTATTGATTTCTTGAGGCCCTACCTCACGGTCTTGTTCTGCCCGCAGCATAGCAAACCACTGCTGTTTATACACAGAAGACAGCCATTCTGAAGGTACTATACCATCTTGTTCAATAATTCTTGCAGAAGCTAGGTCACTGATAATATATTGTAACCTTAAATGTCTGAATACTGACACAAATGGTTTTCCTGGTTCAGTTTCAAGAAAGGCCATACCTTCAAAATCTTTTCTCTGTTTAGAAAACCAGACATCTGTTTCTGTCAAAAGCTGTTTTAAAGATCCATTCCAAGAAGGCACAAGTTGAAGGAACATCCACTTTTTTAGAGTGGTGTATACATCCATCTCCACTTGCATCACAAATAAGTTAGAGGAACCAATGAGCTGTTTCATGACATTTATACCGAGTTCTTTAAAAAGTTTAACATTCTGGTGAGTCATCAAATTGTTTAGAAGCCATTCAAGGCACTTTTTCTTTACAGAATCTAATCCATAGATCTCTACTGATGTGTAATAACCGCATACAGTTTTCACATTAATTGTTTCCTTCATTGTCTCACCACACTGCTGTATTAAACCATCCAGCTGCAGCATACAAGCTGCTGCCAAAATGGCAACAACTCGACTGGGTTTTATCAAGACATCATCTCGATACAGTGAACCAAACGCAACCTGCAGTGCGTCTACATCAATGTTCTGGTCAGGAATCTCCAGTTCAATAATATTCATGCTGGATTCTTTCCAAGAACCACTGAACATACTAGAAAAGTAGCCAGATTGACATAAATATATTTTGTGTAATCGCCATTCTTCTCCTAGAGCACAAATCTTAATGTCACTGTTTTCACCATTCAAAAATAATGTTTGATAAATATATTTGGATGTACTCCTTAATTTTTTCCTTGCAGGGGTGTTGAGGAGCGGCTGCTGCTTGTCCCCCTCCTCCTCATGCTCCTCCCTGTGCGAGTCCGGGTCACAGTAGCGGCAGGCCCCGCTGCTCCGCTTGCGCTTGTGACTGCCCGGGCAGTAACAGAAGCCGTAGCTCGCCGCATCGTCTCCAGTGTCCGGCCTCCGGGCCGAGCCCCTGGCCCTGGCACCCTGTTCCTGCTGGGCAAGGGCTCGCCTCGGCTGGCCCAGCACCCGGCTGCTCGACGATCCCATGGGTCACGGCTCCCCAGGACTTCAGGGAGCCCAGAGGAGGGGGTCTCTGGCCATGGCCCGGCCGCCGCCGCCAGCCTTCCCCGAGCACAGGTGCCTACACCGCCACCTTCTCACGCGCAGCCCCAACCGTTGCAGCGGACACTGCCGCCTCCAACCTCCGCACCCCTCCCCCACAATTTTTTTTTTTTTTTTTTTTTGAGACGGAGTCTTGCTCTGTCGCCCAGGCTGGAGTGCAGTGGCGCGATCTCGGCTCACTGCAACCTCTGCCTCGCGGGTTCAAGTGATTCTCCTGCCTCAGCCTCCTGAGTAGCTGGGATTACAGGCGCCCGCCACCACACCTGGGTAATTTTTGTATTTTTAGTAGAGGCGGGGTTTCCCCATGTTGGCCAGGCTGGTCTCAAACTCCTGACTTCAGGTGATCCTCTTACCTTGGCCTCCCAAAGTGCTGGGACTACAGGCGTGAGCCACTGCCTCCGGCCTAAAACAATTTCTTTTAGAGACAAGGTTTCACTGTGTTTCTCCGGGTGGTCTTGAACTCCTTGGACAGCATTCTTCATTGCTGGAAGCAATTCTCATCTGGCAGCCAAAACCAAGGTCCGTTTTAGAAGGACCACTTCCCTAGGAGCAAAGTTTTATTTGCAAGACCTGACAAAGGAAAATGTGTGTACCAGACGCTTGAGCCTAACCAGTCCAATGTAAATTTGCGACCAGGCACAAAAATAAAATAAAATAATAAAATAAAATAGGCCAGGCTCGGTGGCTCATGCCTATAATCCCAGCACTTTGGGAGGCCAAGGTGGGTGGATCACATGAGGTCAGGAGTTTGAGACTGGCCTGGCCAACATGGTGAAACCCCATCTCTACTAATAATATAAAATTTAGCCAGGTGTGGTGGTGCACGCCTGTAATCCCAGCTTTTCGGGAGGCTGAAATGGAGAACTGCTTGAACCCAGGAGGCAGAAGTTGCAGTGAGCCAAGATCGCATCATTACATTCCAGCCTGGGCGACAAGAGCGAAATTCCGTCTCCAGAAAAAAATAATAAGATAAAATAAAATAGAATAAAGACTTGAAGTCAAGCCAGGTACGGTGGCTGCTCACACCTGTAATCCCAGCACTTTGGGAGGCCGAGGTGGGCAGATCACGAGGTCAGGAGTTCAAGACCAGCCTGGCCAATATGGTGAAAGTGACCATGGCTGGGTGAAATGATCACTGCAGCCGGTCTGGGAAGGCAGAAGCAAGCAGAGGGCCTGGGCAGGATAGGCAGGGATTCTCTGTGGGGAGGATCTGTGGAGACAGGGGCAGCAGGATTAGGATGTCGGAATTGAGGAGGCTTTTGTCCTTGGGGGATGGAGTGGAGAAGTGGGGCATGGTCCTGGAAATTTGCCCTGCAGCCTCACCAGGCCATCTGGAAGCTACTTGTTGGGAACCCCGTGTGTGTAAAGGGCTGACCCAGGCCCAGACCCGGAGGAACTGGAGAAGGGCACACACTGAGACCACCCGAGGGGTGTGCTGGAACTGCTTGGCCAGTCCTTGGGGATGGGATGGCTGGGGCATGTGGGTGTCTTCCTGTAAGAAAACAGGACTTGATGAGGAAGGTGGGAGGCTGTTCCAGGCAGATGGAGGTCTGTGCCCCCAGAGCAATGTAGGAGTCGCCATGCGGGGCTCCATCTTTGGTACAGTGGGGGCAGAGATTGGCGAGGGGCATCAGGGCCAGATATGTAGGTGTGGGGAGCCCTAGATGGGCCAGTGCTGCAGGGGGAGGCAAGGTCATGCCAGGGAGGTGGATGGGACGCTGGACACAAGTGAAGAGTGACCAGCCCTGTGGCTTCCTCAAACCTATGTGAGTGCCTGCCCCATTCCCAGATGAAGAAAACAGAGGTTTCAATAGGGAAAGTGACTTGTTCTAAATCCCAGAGTTGGGAAGTCAGGAAGCTCAGCCTCCTGATTCCAAAGGCAAATCTGGAGTTTCTGTTGGAGTTAAGGGGCCAGGTGAATGGTCTATGTTGACCAAAAAAAAAAAAAAAAAAAAAAAAAAGCTCTGTAAAATGTTTAAAGAAGTTTATTCTCTGGCGTGAACCCGGGAGGCAGAGCTTGCGCCACTGCACTCCAGCCTGGGTGACAGAGCGAGACTCCATCTCAAAAAAAAAAAAAAAAAAAGAAGTTTATTCTCAGCTGATATGAGTGACCATGACCTGGGGTACAGTCTCAAGAGGTCCTGAGAAAGTGTGCCTCAGATGGTTGGGTTATAGTTTGGTTTTATACATTTTAGGGAGACAGAGGTTACAAGCAAATACATCAATCAATACATGTAAAGTACACATTGCTTCAGCCTATAAGGGCAGGACAACTCCAGGGGAGTTACAGGTCATAGGTGATTCAAAGGTTTTCTGATTGGCAATTGGTTGAAAAAGTTAAGCTTTGTCTAAAGAGTTGAAGTGGCTGGGTACAATGACTGACATCTGTAATCCCAGCACTTTGAGAGGCCGAGGAGGATGGCTTGATCCCAGGAGTTTTCAACAAGCCTGGGCAGCGTAGTGAGACCCGGTGTCTACAAAAAAATTTTAAAAATTAATTGGGCATCGTGATGTGCACCTGTAGTCCCAGCTACTTGGGAGGCTAAGGTGGGAGGATTACTTAAGCCCAGGAGGTCGAGCCTATGGTGAGCCATGACTGTGACACTGCATTCCAACTCGGGGGACAGAATGAGACCCTGTCTCAAAAATAAAATAAAACAGGCCAGTTGCAGTAGCTCACACCTGTAATCCCAGCACTTTGGGAGGCCAAGGCAGATGGATCACTTGAGGTCAGGAGTTCAATACCAGCCTGGCCAATATGGTGAAACCCCATCTCTACTAGAAATAGAAAAATTAACTGGGAGTGGTGGCATGCATCTGTAATCCCAGCTACTCTGGAGCCTGAGGCAGGATAATTGCCTGAACCTGGGAGGTGGATGTTGCAGTTAGCCGAGGTCGCACCATTGCACTCCAGCCTGGGCAACAAGAGTGAAACTCCATCTCCAAAAAAAATAGTAAGATAAAATAAAATAAAGAGTTGAAGGCATGGTGGCTCACGCCTGTAATCCCAGCAGTTTGGAGGCCAAGGAGGGCAGATCACGAGGTCAGGAGTTCGAGACCAGCCTGGCCAATATGGTGAAACCCTGTCTCTACTAATAGTACAAAAATTAACTGGGTGTGGTAGCACACATCTGTAGTCTCAGCTACTCTGGAGGCTGAAGCAGGAGAATCGCTTGAACCCAGGGAGGTGGAGGTTGCATTGCACTCCAGCCTGGGCGACAGAGCGAGATTCCATCTCAAAAAAAAAAAAAAAAGCGTTGAAGTCAGTGGGAAGAAATGCTTGGGTTAAGAAAGGGGTTGTGGAAGCTGAGGTTCTTGTTACGTAGATGAAGCCTCCAGGTAGCAGCCCTCAGAATAGATAGTGAATGTCTCTTTTCAGACCTTCAAAAGTCTCAGACTCTCATTGAATCTCTCCTAAATCTGACAAAGTCCTGGCTACATTAATGGAAATTCTCTACAGATGCAAATTTCCCCCATGGGAGACAGCTTTGCAGGGCCATTTCAAAATATTGTCAAATAAATATATTTTGGGGTAAAATATTTTGATGCCCTTCAGGGTCTGCTATCTGTTACGTGATGTACCAGAGTCAGGTAGAAATTTGGCATCTTATTGCTACAAAAATTCTGTTTTGAGCCAGGCACGGTGTCTCACACCTGTAATCCCAGCACTTTGGGAGGCTGAGGTGGGTGGATCACCTGAGGTCAAGAGGTCAAGAGTTTGAGAGCAGCCTGGCCAACATAGTGAAACCCCATCTCTACTAAAAATACAAAAAATTAGCTGGATGTGGTGGTGGGCGCCTGTATTCCCAGCTACTCAGGAGGCTGAGGCAGAAGAATTACTTGAACCCGGGGGCCAGAGGTTGCAGTGAGCCAAGATCATGCCATTGCACTCCAGCCTGGGCAACAAGAGCGAAACTCTGTCTAAAAAAAAAAAGTCTGTTTTGTCAGTCTTATGATCTCTATTTTATTTATTTATTTTTAATTTATTTTATTTTATTTTTGAGACAGAGTTTCACTCTCGTTGCCCAGGCTGGAGTGTAATGACGCTATCTCGGCTCACTGCAGCTTCTACCTCCCAGGGTCAGACAATTCTTGTGCCTCAGCTTCCCAAGTAGCTGAGATTACAGGCATGTGCCACCATGCCTGGCTAATTTTTTGAATTTTTTGTAGAGATGGGGTTTCATCATGTTGGCCAGGTTGGTCTCGAACTCCTGACCTCAAGTGATCCACCTGCCTTGGCCTCCCAAACTGCTGGGATTACAGGAATGAGCCACTGCGCCTGGCTAGAATAAATACTTTATGCTTTGGGCCAACAGGCAAAATCGAGGGTATGAAGTCGGTAAGTACATACCAAGAAATGAAACCAACTTCCATAATTTGGGGGGATTGCTATTGACAGAATGTCAAAGTTAATTTATGGATGCTGAAAGTTGAGTTTCATACAATTTTTATGTGTCATGAAATATTATTATTTTCATTATTTATTTATTTATTTGTTTATTTATTTATTTATTTTTGATACAGAGTCTTGCTCTGTCATCCAGACTGTGATCTCAGCTCACTGCGACCTCTGCCTTCTGGGTTCAAGCGATCCTCTGCCTCAGCCTCCCAAGTAGCTGGGATTACAGGCACATGCCACCACACCTGGCTAATTTTTTTGTATTTTTAGTAGAGATGGGGTTTCACCATGTTCAAGGCCAGGCTGGTCTTGAACTCCTGACCTCAAGTGATCTGCCTGCCTCAGCCTCCCAAAGTGCTGGGATTATAGGTGTGAGCCACTGCACTCAGCCTGATTTTTTTTTCAATGATTTAAAAATGTAAAAACCATTCTTTGTTCAGGGATCATATAAAATCAAGCAGTAAGCAAAATTTGGGCTATGGGCCATAGTTTGCCAACTCCTGGTCTAGATCTGCCCTGTTCATCATAGTAGCCACTGGCTACATGCAGCTATTGAGTACTTGAAATGTGGCCAGGGACAGTCACGATGGCTCACACCTGTAATCTCAGCACTTTTGGAGGTTAACGTGGGAGGATGGCTTGAACCCAGCAGTTTCAAGTTACAGCAAACTATGATTGCAACACTGCATCCCAAACCTGGGTGACAGGGAAAGAAAGAAAAAGAGAGAGAGAGAGGGAGGGAGAGAGAGAGAGAGAAGGAGGAGGAGGAGGAGGAGAAAGAGAGAAAAGAAAGAAAGAGAAAGAAAGAAGAAAAAGAAAGAAGAAAGAAAATAAGAAATAAGAAAGGAAGAAAAAAGAAAGAGGGAGGGAGAAAGGGAGGAAGGAAGGGAAGGGAGGGAGGAAAAGAAAAAGAAGTGTGGCTGTACTGAATTAAAATATGCTTAGGTGTAAAATACACACTAGATTTTGAAGACAGTACAAAAAGAAAATATCCCAATAACTTTTTGTTGATTATATTTTGGATATCTCAGAATAAGTAAAATATATTATTGAAATTAACTTCACCCCCCCCCCTTTTTTTTTTTACTTTTTTTTACTTTGTCTTAGTCCACTTTCTGTTGTTCGAATATCTGAGACTGGATAATTTTTAAAGAAAAGAGGTTTATTTAGCTCACGGTTCTGCAGGCTGGGAAGTTCCAGATTGGACGGCTGCATCTGGCAGCTTCTGGTGAGAGCTGTGTGCTGCACCAAAATGTGGCAGAGAAATGGAAGGCGGACCAGGCACCTGGAGGAAAGGGGGAAAACACGAGGGGCGACCTTGCTTGATGACAACCCAACTCTGAAGGTAACTGATCCAGACCCAAGAGAGTGAGAACTCACTTCTATGGGACTTGCATTAATATCCTGTCGTGAAGGCCCATCCCTCATGATCCAAACACCCCTGAAAGGTCCCCCCACGTCTCAATGCCGTTATATTGGCAATTAAATTTCAACATGAGTTTTGGTAGGGGCAAACCACATCCAAACCATAGCATCTTCTCACTGTTGAGTCACTTTTTAATGTGGCTATTAGAAAAATTTAAATGACATGTGTGTTTGCACTTGTGGCTGTTTTGCATCCGTATCTGGTATACAGTGCTGCTCTAGTAGTGAAGGTGGAGCGCCCCGAGTGAGATGACCCCGATTTGCCTCGGGGGGAAGTGGAAGGGCGTGGCCTGGTGTTCAGCAGTGGAGTGTGGGATCACGGAGGGACAGCTGGATCTCATTAAGGTGAAGTGGAGGGGCAGGGTTCACGGAGGCACACACTGAGGAAGCTTCTGCAGCAGTGAGTTGAGGGAGTGGTTAGGCTTTGTGGGTAGGGGACTGAGCTGTTTGAGGGTATCTGTAAGAGGCTGTGCAGCAAGGCAGGTGGCAAGAAGCAAGATGTTGGCTGGGCATGGTGGCACATGCCTGTAATCCCAGCACTTTGGGAGGCCAAGGCAGGAGGATTGCTTGAGGCTGGGAGTTTGAGACCAGCCTGATCAACATAGTGAGACCACGTCTCTATAAAAAATAAATCAATAAATAAAATTTAAAAAGCAAGATGTTGCCAAGCAGTTGGCCAAGTGGTGAGTATGAAAGAGAGAGACCCTGCCCTGAGGGCTTTCTGTCTCTCACCCACCTGGATCAGCACACAGCATGTATTTGTCTTCCACTCCAAGCCTACATCCTGGCCCCTGTTGGAGAAGGGCTCTGACCAGTTCACTGGCAGAATATGAAAATTGTATGTTAAGACATGCACGGCATGAAGCCCTAAGAAGCCAAGAATCCTTTCTTTTCACAGCAGGAGAAGGCCTCTGGCTGTTTCCCTGTGTTGACTGGAGGCTGAGTCTCTGTCCTCGACACCCCACCCGCTGCTGCCTCCTCTGCCCTGCCTGGGGAGCCCTGCCTTGCCTGGCCCTGTGCTGGGAACGGCCAGAGCTGGGGCTTCTTGCGTTTCCTGTTCACACCCGCAGAGCCAGCTTTGCCTTCCCCTCTGCTGTGCAGGGAGAAGGGAGGTGGGAGGTGCGGAGGGGATGGTCCTGTCTGTGGCTTCCTATTTCTTGGCTGGCAGGAGAAAGGCAGGCTTTCTGTGTCTATGTCTCTGTGGTCTTTCAGACTCAGCACTTGGGTAGGAAGATGAAAACCTCGGAGTGCCCCTTGTCTCTTTCCCTTGGGTCTGATTAGACCAAAGGCTGGTGTGGTGGAGGAGGTGAAAGGACCTGGCACGGGGAGGCTGGAAGCCCAGCGCTGCTCTGCTCACTTTCCCCTCTGCCAGCCTTTGTTACCAAAAGGTCTGGACTTGATCTTGGAAATGCATCATTTCTTGATCCTTCTCTAGCCTTTAGGGACAAATATACTAGAAGAAAATGGTCAAGACAATTGGTGCCACCAGCAGGAGGCATAGCAAGGAAGCAGGGGGTGAAAGGGTTTCTCCTTGAGAGAAGCAAGCCTCTGAGTCCAAGGCCCTCCACCAAGCGGCTCTGGTCCAGTGTTCCAGCCTTATTGCCCATCCTGCTCCATGTATGGAGTTGGGGGTTGTCACCACACACAAACACAACGTTCTGCCAACTCACCCTCCTCGATGTCTCTGTTCATCCCCTCCTTCCCATTTCCTCCACTGGACCACCGCCATAGCAGTATTCACTGACTTCCAGTTTCCTGCGGGATAAATCTGAACCCTTTGTCGTGGCACCCAAAGCCCTTGCCCAGCCGCGCTGTCCCAGCTCCTCTTCATCGTGTGGAGCAACTTGCAGTTCTCCAAGCAGCCTCTGCTTTCTCAAGCTTGGAACCTGAGCTGTGTCGTCTTCTCTGCCTGCACCCCTTCTTTTCCATCTCTGCTGGAGAACCCCTGCTTAGCCTCAGTAAAGATGTTTAAGGGACAGTTATGCATGAGGGTTTAGAGTTCACAGACCCAGTCTGTCCTGGAGGTCAAGGGCATGTTGCTGGCAATTGCAGCGTCAACAATTCAATTGAGTAAATACATGAGTGAATAGATGAATTGTTGTGGAATCAGAAACTGAGGCTCGGCCGGGCACGGTGGCTCACGCCTGTAGTCTCAGCACTTTGGGAGGCCGAGGCGGGCGAATCACGAGGTCAGGAGATTGAGACCATCCTGGCTAACACGGTGAAACCCCATCTCTACCAAAAAAAATACAAAAAGTTAGCTGGGCATGGTGGCGGGTGCCTGTAGTTCCAGCTACTCCGGAGGCTGAGGCAGGGGAATGGTGTGAACCCAGCAGGCGGAGCTTGCAGTGAGCCGAGATTGCACCACTGCACTCCAGCCTGGGCGACAGAGTGAGAGTCTGTCTCAAAAAAAAAAAAAAAAAAAAAGAAACTGAGGCTCAATCTGGGCACGGTGGCTCATGCCTATAATTCCAGCACTTTGGGAGGCTGGGGTGGGTGGATCACGTGAGGTCAGGAGTTTGAGACCAGCCTGGCCAACATGGCGAAACCCCGTCTCTACTAAAAATACAAGAATTAGCTGGGCATGGTGGCGGGCGCATGTAATCCCAGCTACTAGGGAGGCTGAGGCAGGAGAATCGCTTGAACTTGGGAGATGGAGGTTGCAGTGAGCCGAGATCACACCATTGCAATCCAGCCTGGGCCAGAGAGTAAGACCCTGTCTAAAAAAAAAAAAAAAAAAGAAAGAAAAAAAGAAACTGAGGCTCAAAGAAAGAGCCCGCAGGTCCACACTGACCTAGTGGCAATGCAGACATAAACATAAACAAAGCCTCTTTTAGGAGCCACTGCTGCCTCTCAGAGGGAGACAGAAATTTCCCGGTTTAATAGGCTTTCTCCCCACCTAATCTGCAGTAGTGAGTCCTAAAATCTGTCCCTGTCCCAATGACTGGTGCCTAGAATGCTTCATAAAAGTGAGAGTCCAGCCCCAGAGGTCAGGGAGTCTGAAGTTTCAAAGACTACACAGGGGATAATGTTGCAGATGAGGCCGGGCCCCTGTGTGAGCTGTGCCCACTGTGTGCAGCTTTGTGAGCTCTCCAGGAAACTGGGAGGATTAGGGTTTTGTATGTGAATCACATACTTCATTAAGGACTGATTCCAGTATAGGGCTCTAGCCATTTCTGATTGGTTTCTGATGGACAGAGGCTGCCTCTGAGACTCAGCAGGGC
The DNA here is from genome assembly GCF_000001405.40 of Homo sapiens. Classification (NCBI taxonomy): domain Eukaryota; kingdom Metazoa; phylum Chordata; class Mammalia; order Primates; family Hominidae; genus Homo; species Homo sapiens. The sequence continues at coordinate 178,196,423 of NC_000005.10, forward strand.
GTGGGGTGGCTGTGGCAAGAATGTGTGATTTTAGGGAGGCCGCCAGCAGATTCTCTCTCCAGATCTCTTACTTGTCTGTTTCAAGGATTTGACTTGAGATGTATTTTGAGATATATTGTTGCGGGGTGGCTGGGGGCCTGGGGGTGTCAGCAGGCAAAGGAATGTTCCCTTGGATGCTTCCACTGTTGCTGTTAGCAGTCACAGCAGCTCTCACAGCGGGCGCTGTTCTAAACCCTTAGCAGCCGTCCTCCCATAGCCCTGCAGGATGGTGGAGAGACAGGTGCCATTCTCTTTTTTTTTAAGATGAAGTAGGTCGGGAGCTGTGGCTCATGCCTGTAATCCCAGCCCTTTGGGAAGTTAAGGCAGGCAGATGGCTTGAGCCCAGGAGTTTGAGACTAGCCTGGGCAACACAGGGAGACCCTGTCCCTAGCTAAATAAATAAATAAGCTGGGTGTGGTGGTGCATGCCTGTAGTCCCAGCTAAGTGGGAGGCTGAGACGGGAGGATCACTTGAGCCCAGGAGGTCGAGGCGAGCCGTGATCACATCACTGCACTCAGAGCAAGACCCTGTCTCAGAAAAAATGTAAAAAAAGATGAAGAAGCTGAACTTCATGGAGGTCTGCTTAGGGATCCACATCTCAGATGCTCTTGGTCAATGTCAATAGGTTTAGTGGGACCCTGGAGGAAGACATTAGAACATGGTGGGGGCTGGGTTTAGCTGGACAGTGCCTGCCTCATCCGCTGGGGGTCACTGTGACTCAGCTCCCACTGATTCTGGACACAGGACACTGTGGCCCAGTGTGACCTTAGCTGACAATTTTTCAAAAGTAACTGGACGTATAACCTTGTGTAGAAATGCCATCATCCGGCAGGGCGCGGTGGCTCACACCTGTAATCCTAGCACTTTGGGAGGCTGAGGCGGGTGGATCACGAGGTCAGGAGTTCGAGATCTGCCTGGCCAACATGAGGAAACCCTTTCTCTACTAGAAATACAAAAATTAGCGTGGTGGTGCATGCTTGTAATCCCAGCTACTTGGGAAGCTAAGGCACAAGAATCGCTTGAACCCAGGAGGTGAAGGTTGTAGTGAGCCAAGATCATGCCACTGCACTCCAGCCTGGGCGACACAGTGAGACTCCATCTAAAAAATATACATATATGTGTATATATATGTGTGTGTGTATATATATGTATATACATGTATATATATACGTATATATGTGTACATATATACGCATATATATGTATATATTATATATATACATATATACACATATATACACATATACACATATATACGTATATATACACACACATATATATGTGTATGTGTGTATATGTATATATGAAAGAAATGTCATAATCCATAAATGTTGGCAAACAATTTTTTCAAATGAGCCAAACACTGTGTAGGACTGGGTGAGGTGGTGTGCAATTTTAGTCTCAGCTGCTAGGGAGGTTGAAGCGGGAGGATCACTTGAGGCCAGTAGTTTGAGGCTACACTGAGCTGCAATCACGCAGGTGAATAGTGACTGCACTCCAGCCTGGGCGACACAGTGAGACCTCATCTCAAAAACAAAAACAGAACAAAGCACTGTACAGGGCAAGCAAGTAGGTTCAAGAGTCAACTTTAGTCCACAAGGTGCTGGTTTGAAACAGTATTAGTCTGTTTTCACATTGCTATAAGGAAATACCTGAGACTTGGTAATTTATAAAGGAAAGAGGTTTAATTGACTCAGTTCCGCATGGTGGGGAGGCCTCAGGAAACTTACAATCATGGCGGAAGGCACCTCTTCACAGGGCAGCAGGAGAGAGAATGAGTGCCAGCAGGGGAAATGCCAGATGCTTATAAAACCATCAGATCTCGTGAGTACTCACTATCACTAGAACAGCATGGGGGAAACCGCCCCCACGATTCGATTACCTCCCACCAGGTCCCTCCAATGACACATGGGGATTATGGGGATTACAATTCAGGATGAGATTTGGGGCTGGGCGAAGTGGCTTACGCCTGTAATCCCAGCACTTTGGGAGGCCGAACTCCAGAGGTCAGGAGTTTGCGAGCAGCCTGGCCAACACAGTGAAACCCTGTCTCTACTAAAAGTACAAAATTAGCCAGGTGTGGTGGCGCACACCTGCAATCCCAGCTACTCGGGAGACTGAGGCATGAGAATTGCTTGAACCCAGGGGGCAGAGGTTGCAGTGAGCTGAGATCATGCCACTGCACTCCAGCCTGGGCAACAGAGCGAGACTCTGTCTCAAAAAAAAAAAAAAAAAAAAAGATCTCGTATTCATTCTGCAGGCACTGGCGTGCCCACCGTAGGAGTCAGGGTGGAGGAGACAGACCCGATGCAGGGTCTCAGGGCGCTCACAGTCAATGTCAACAGTGTGGCCCATGTTCTGAGGGGCACCCTTCCTCGGGGTATGACACAACACTTCCCATAGGAGGAGGAGGAAGTCTGTTGGATGTTGTGTTTGGTTTCTGGGGCTGCTGTGATCAAGTGCCGCAACCCGGTGGCTTACAGCAACCCAGCTGTATTCTCTCACAGTTCTTGAGGCTGGAAGTCTAAAATCAAGCTGTCAGCAGGGCCCGTGCTCCCTCTGAAGGCTTCAAGGGAGGATCTTTGCCCCGCTCCTAGTTTCCGGTGTTGCCAGCAATCCTCAGTGCTTCTTGGCCTATAGATGCATCACTGCAATCTCTGCCTCCGTGGTCATGTGGCATTTTTCCCGTGTGTCTGTCTTTCCCCCTCCAAAGTTCACCAGTCATACAGGATTAAAGGCCCACCCTACTCCCATATGGGCCTTTAATCCTCATACTCCAGTTTGACCTCATCTTAACTTGATTCCACCTGAAAAGACTATTTCCAAGTATGGCCACATTCAGAGGCACCAGGAGTTAGGATTTGAACGTAACTTTTTTTTTGTTTTTGAGACGGAGTCTCACTCTGTCGCCCAGGCTGGAGTGCAGTGGCATGATCTTGGCTCACTGCAAGCTCCACCTCCCGGGTTCACGCCATTCTCCTGCCTCAGCCTCCTGAGTAGCTGGGACTACAGGTGCCCACCACCACGCCTGGCTAATTTTTTGTATTTTTAGTAGAGACGGGGTTTCACTGTTAGCCAGGATGGTCTCGATCTCCTGACCTCGTGATCCGCCCACCTCGGCCTCCCAAAATGCTGGGATTACAGGAGTAAGCCACCATGCCCGGCTGTGAACATGTCTTTTGCGGGGGCACACAATTCAACTCCCAATGTGTACAGTAGTTAGGTGACATTTGGGAAGACTGTTCCAGGTAGAGAAAACAGCAGGTGAAAAGGCCCAAAGGCAGGAGGGCACTGGTGAGTTCTAGGAAGTAAAAGAAATTCAGCACAGCTGGAGTGGAGAGTGGCAAGGAGGTGCAGCTGAGGCGACTCATGCTGGACCTTATAGGCCAGGTGGGAGGGTGAGAGTAGGCCAGGCTACAGTTTGAGAGAAAAAAAAAATCCCAAATCTCAGTGCCAGGCCCAGTACAGGTTCATTTTCAGCTTGTGTCAAATCTGATGTGGGCCGAACAGCTCTTCTCCATGAGGTAGCTCAGCCGTGTAGAACACATGGTCGCGGGGTGAAGGGAAGTCTGGACAAGGCCCCCAGTCTCCATGGCCCCAGCCTGAAAGGAACTCTTCCACTCACAGACCACACAGCAGGGGAGGCTGGCAAGGTGGGGGCACAGATTTCTGGGAGCCCCAACTGTCTGTCCCACTCGTATTCACCCGAAGTCAAGGCTAAGACTTCATCCTGACAGCACTGGGAAGTCAGCCAGGGTTTTCACACAGAGGTAGTGACAAGATGGGACTTGCATTTTCAGTTTTTCCTTTTTTCACTGTAGCTCTCAGATCTTATGACTTGTGTTTTAGAAAGATTCATCTGGCTAGAGGACTCCTCTGAAGCAGGGGAGCTGGAGTTTGGTGGAGCGGGGAAAGTGGCTGCAGCGGGAGTTGGCCACAGCAGAGGCACGATATATTTGTAGTTAACTCATGCAACTTCCACCTTGCAGGCTCAGCCAAAAAACCGAAAAAAAGAATGTGAGAAAAATCAATTCATGTAATTAAAAAACAATCCAAAAGCATTTTGTGTATGTCCTTTCCTAGATTGGAGATTGTCCACATTTTATGCATATATTCTGAATAGCCCAAACCCAGGGAGTGTATACTCTATGGGCCTTTTAAGAGATTTTCAGGGGTAACTGAGCTCCTGGCTGACTTGAGAACCTCACTGTCATGGAATTGCCCTCTACTCAGGGTCTGTAACTGAACCTAATAACAAAAGTAGGGAGGCTTGTGTCAAAAGGACTTCCTGCTGTTTCCCAAACAGTGTGGTGCCTTGCCTCTGGCAGAAACACCCTTGGATACAATATGAAGGCTTTATTTATTTATTTATGTAATTTCATTTTTTTGAGACAGAGTCTGGCTCTGTCCCCCAGGCTGGAGTGCAGTGGCACGATCTCGGCTCACTGCAAGCTCTGCCTCCCGGGTTCACACCATTCTCCTGCCTCAGCCTCCCGAGTAGCTGGGACTACAGGCGCCCCCCCACCACGCCCGGCTAATTTTTGTATTTTTAGTAAAGACAGGGTTTCACCGTGTTAGCCAGGATGGTCTCGATCCGCCTGCCTCGGCCTCCCAAAGTGCTGGGATTACAGGCGTGAGCCACCGCACCCGGCCCGGCATTTTTTATTTTTTGCTGAGACTGACCCCTACCTGCCTGCAGTTCTTTCTAGTTTATGAAGTGTTTTCTAAGCCATTACCTTATTTGAGCTTCAGGATTCTTTATTTATTTATTTATTTATTTTGAGACAGAGTCTCGCTGTGTCACTTAGCCTGGAGTGTAGTGGTGCGATCTCGGCTCGATGCAACCTCCATCTCCCAGGTTCGAGTGATTCTTGTGCCTCAGCCTCCCGAGCAGGGGGGACTACAGGCCTGGGCCACCATGCCCAGACTTTTTTTTGTATTTTTAGTAGAGATGGGGGTTCCACCATGTTGCTCAGGCTGGTCTCAAACTCCTGGCCTCATGGGATTCTCCTGCCTTGGCTTACCAAAGTGGTGGGATTACGGGCGTGAGCCACCACGCCCAGCTGAGCCTCAGAATAAATTAGATCTTTGATAGGAGATCTAATTTACATCAAGGAACTCAGAAGCTCAGACACACCTTGTCCCACAGTAGCCAGGAGCCCTGGAAACAATCCCCAATGTGGAGTTGGACGTGTTGGTTTCATGGCCACAGTTTTAGCTGTGGTTTCAGTATTCTTGTGTATAAAATATGGGTAACTGCACAAAGCTATTTTGAAGCTCCAGTAAAGCAAGGTTGGTGAAAGCATTTTGCAAACTGCTAAGCGCTGTCCAAATGTTGTATCCTCAGACTTTACACGTCACTGAAAGTGTTTCTGAGTCGTGCTAAAGAAATCCACGTGGAAGATTAAGGGAATTTATGCCTGCAGTAATGTCTTTGGGCTGCACCTACACTATTTGACTTTGAACTTAATTTCCTGAATTACCTTCACTGCTTGGGGAGCTGTGCCCATCATCTCCTGCAGGCCACAGCCCTGGCCCTCATTTCTGTGGGTTGGCAAGGGCTGGGGTGGAGGTGGGGTGAGCAGTTTGTTAGAGACCGCCCTGAAAGCCTTGCTGCCAGATCTCAGTGACATGAGTAAGGTCGTGTGGAAATATGTGACTTCCTGTTATGGAATTAGCCTGGGACAGTGAAGAGTGGCCTTGGGGTGAACCAGAGGGCACTTGCCCACCTGGGTATGGGTATCCCAGCTGCACTTGATTGTTACTTTGGGGGAAGGCAGTACAGTGTGAGCTAAATCTTCGGACTTTCCTAGAGAAGCCTGAAATCCACGTATCTTCATTTTTCATTCTCAGGGCAACTCCAGTGCCTGGGTGGAGTTAGTGCCTGAGTTGGTTGTGTAGCTTTGGGCCGCTGCTCTTGACTTCAGTTTTCTCATTTAAAATTGGTGATCCACCTGAGATCAGGAGTTCAAGACCAGCCTGGTCAACATGGTAAAACCCCATCTCTACTAAAAATACAAAAATTAGCCCGGCATGGTGGAACACACCTGCAATCCCAGCTACTCAGGAGGCTGAGGCAGGAGAATCGCTAGAACCTGGGAGGTGGAGGTTGCTGTGAGCTGAGATGGCTCCACTGTACTCCAGCCTGGGCGACAGAGCGAGACCCCCGTCTCAAAGAAAAAAAAAACCTGGTGATCTAGCTGGGCAACATAGGGAGACCCTGTGTTTACAAAAAATTCGCTTGGCGTGGTGGCCACGTTTCTGGTTCCAGCTACTTGGGAGGCTGAGGCAGGAGGCTCATTTGAGCCCGGGAGGTTGAAGCTGCAGTAAGCCGTGATCGTGCCACTGGACTCCAGCCTGGGTTACAGAACAAAACCTTGTGTCAAAAAATAAAATAAATAAAATTGGTGACCATACCACCTTACTTTGGTTGTTAAGATACAGAAGAGAAAATGGAATGCCCAGCCCACCACACTGGTCCTGGCTGCAGGAATCCACTGGAAACGCTAGTTCCTTGTGTTCTGGGTTGCTATTTGGTAACCTGCAGGCTCCAGAGGTTGTAATCCTGCTTGCCTTGGGGCCCACCACCCATATGATTAAAAGGAATAACGGGATTACCGAGGCCTTTAAAATTTTGTGGTCAAGGAGATAATATAAAGGAGTTTTGTGTATTAGGAAGAGAACAACGCCCCCACCCTGTCCTTTACCTCGTGAGTTCACGAGTGGTGTATTTGTTTTGTTTTGTTTTTGAGACGATGTCTCGCTCTGTCGCCCAGGCTGGAGTGCAGTGGCGAGATCTCGGCTCACTGCAAGCTCCGCCTCCCGGGTTCACGCCATTCTCCTGCCTCAGCCTCCCGGTAACTGGGACTACAGGCGCCCACCACCACGCCCGGCTAATTTTTTTGTATTTTTAGTAGAGACGGGGTTTCACCATGTTCGCCAGGATGGTCTCGATCTCCTGACCTCGTGATCCGCCCGCCTGGACCTCCCAAAGTGCTGGGAGTACAGGCGGGAGCCACCGCGCCCGGCCTCCGTATTTGTTTAAAAAAAAAAAAAAAAAAAAAAAGGCCGGGCGCGGTGGCTCACGCCTGTAATCCCAGTACTTTGGGAGGCCCAGGCGGGCGGATCACGAGGTCAGGAGATCGAGACCATCCTGGCCAACATGGTGAAACCCCGTCTCTACTAAAAAAACAAAAAAATTAGCCGGGCGTGGTGGCGCATGCCTGTAATCCCAGCTACTCGGGAGGCTGAGACAGGAGAATCGCTTGAACCCGGGAGGCGGAGGTTGCGGTGAGCCGAGATCGCGCCATTGCACTCCAGTCTGGGCGACAAGAGCAAGACTCCATCAAAAAAAAAAAAATAATAAAAAGGAAGAAAAAGAAAGACAAATGATTTACAGGAAAAAATTTAAGTAAACAAAAGTACAAATGCGATGTCAATCGTTCAGGTGGTGCCAGGGGACAGAGAACCGGGGAACACCAAGGTCTCATCGTCCCTGCAGAGCATCTCTGGGGGAGGCGACGGACAGGGCGCGAGCGCGGGGCTTGGAGGGCACCAAGGTCCAGGGGGATGGCGGGTTCAGTCCCAATCCCTCCGACCCGTGCTGAGGGCCTTGGAGGACCCCACTCGCCCAACCTCGGAAGCCCGGGTTCTGCCACTTCCAGCCACGCGTCCTTGGGCTGCGAAACTTTCTCCAGCCCAGTTTCCTCTTTTGGGACATGGGGAGGCGGAGGCTGCCAATGCTGGGATGGAGTCCTCGAGAGCAAGAGACCAGCGGCCTCGACGAGCTTACAATCCGATTAGGCCCTCCCACCGATGTGCTGTAGCTGCCCGCCGCCCTGGACCCGGCGCCGTCCCGCCCGGCTTCGGGAGCCCTCCGTAGCGGCCGGACTCGCGCGCGTTCTAAAATGAGGACAAAGCCCGCCCAGGTCTAGAGCGCGCGCGCCGTGGCGGCCAATGGGACGCTGAAGCTAGGTTGAGTGACGGACTTGAGCAGCCAATGAGTGTGCAGTTTGTTGCGATGTGGCACCCGGCTCCGGCATTATAAAGGGCGCCACGAGTCGGCATTGTCAGGCGGCGGCACCGCGCGGGACGGAGCTTGGCTGTTGGTCGGTGGGTTCCCGTGCGGCGGCGGCCAAGGAGGAGGAGACACAGTTGGAGCAGCTCCGTGGGCTGACTGGGGCGAGGCCTCAGCAGCGCGAGCTTGAGTGCGGCCGAGCCTGCGGCGCCTTCCCCTGCGGGTGGGGACGAGCGGGCCCCGCGGCGTCATCGGCGGCGAGGTGAGCGGCGGCCGGCGGGCGGGAGCTCTGGCGGGAGCCGCGCCGGCCTGACGCGCTGTCGCCGCTGGTTGCAGGAGCCGCCGCGCCTCGGCCTAGCATGTCGGAAGCGGGCGAGGAGCAGCCCATGGAGACGACGGGCGCCACCGAGAACGGACATGAGGCCGTCCCCGAAGGCGAGTCGCCGGCCGGGGCTGGCACGGGCGCCGCGGCGGGGGCTGGAGGCGCGACCGCGGCGCCCCCGAGCGGGAATCAGAACGGCGCCGAGGGCGACCAGATCAACGCCAGCAAGAACGAGGAGGACGCGGGGTAGGTGCGGCCGCGGGCGGACGGGGGCGCCGCCTTTGTTCCGGGGCCGCCTTTTGTTGGCGCCACGCGGCGGGGGGAGGGGCGGCGGCCTGGCCCGGGTCGGGGCTGGTGCGGCCCGCGGACTGTCGCCGCTGCGTTCGCGGGCCGGGCCTGGCGCTGCCACTCGCGCTGGAGTTTGCGGGAGTTTGTTGGGTCGACTTTGGCGCCGCCCCGGGGCCGCTCGCGCGCTGCCAGGGCCAGGGCCAGGGCCGGAGCCGGCGCAGGGGCGGGCGGATGGCCCGGAAGAGGGAAAGCGCTCGGACCCGGGGCCCGGCGGCGTCTTGGGCCGCGCCGGCGGCTGCGTGGGCGGAGTTGGCGCGAGCCGGGGCCCGGACCTCCCTCCTCCGCCTCTCCCGGGGGCGGAGTCACGGTCTGAACCCTGGGCGGGCTTGGTCCCCGGAAACATCGAGTTCCTTGAAACGAGTTCTCAGGAGTTGGTGGAGACGCTGGCCCTTTGCTACATGGTTGTAGAACACATGAATTTCCAGTTATGAGTGGTTAGGTCCCATACCCCTGGTGAGGTGGTCCCTTCTTTGCTTCTCACAGGCTGGGGCTGCAGAGCCTTGTTAAGCCTCGTTAGGGTCCTGGTTGAGTTCAATTTGGAGGGTAGTGGAGATTTAACATCTTTCTAAGGTGCTCCTTGCAGACTCTAAGGGTAGCTGTAGACTTCGTGAGAACTTTGCCAGGGCCAGTCCTTTCCAAAATCACAGCTTGCTTACAAGACTTGTTGCCGTGTGTCTCACCCTACCATTTCAGAAAAATGTTCGTTGGTGGCCTGAGCTGGGATACTAGCAAAAAAGATTTAAAAGACTATTTTACTAAATTTGGAGAGGTCGTTGACTGTACAATAAAAATGGATCCCAACACTGGACGGTCAAGAGGGTTTGGGTTTATCCTGTTCAAAGATGCAGCCAGTGTGGAGAAGGTAAGCTGGGTACTGGATTTCAGCAGTCTCAGTGGAAACGATTTGAATTCTAAGAGGACACCTTTCTTAAAGCATGACTAGTTTGTGTGGTCTGCATGTGATTTAAGTGCTTTGGGCAAAACCCAAAGCCGGAGGTTATGTTCCGGTTTTTGAGGGGATGAAAATACAGATTAAGCTGGGAGTGAGAGAATGTGCTGGAGTGGTTCGGGAAGATGACAGTTGACATTCATTACCTTTTATGTGCCTATTCTGGGTACGGCGCTAAACATCTGGGAGGATTACAAGAGAGTCCATGATTGGTATGATAGGCTTTTAGCCCCATTTTACAGGACAAAAACCAAAACCCTAAGGCTCAGAAATGTAAGTAGAAGAGGTCACAGCTAGTAGGGAGTGGAGGGAGGATTCCTTCCCCTGTGGCCCATCTTCAGCCTATGCTCCGAGTCCCTGCTGCTTCGCTTCTGGAGATGGGCCTCACGCTGGGACTGCTTGGGCAGGAAGAGCATGATCAAAGGCTTAAGTGTGAGGACTGTTTTCTAGGTGTCGAGGTAAACCAGCTGTACTTGAGGTTTGATGAAAATTGGGTTGGGAGGTTAAGCTGGGGTAGAATTTGGAGGGGGTGAAACACATGTTTGTATCTGTACTGGTGTCTTTATGGCTTAGAGAGAAGGGCCTTGTCTGGCTCGTGCTGCTGAGTCAGCCTGACCCCTTTCTGTTGGAACAGGTCCTAGACCAGAAGGAGCACAGGCTGGATGGCCGTGTCATTGACCCTAAAAAGGCCATGGCTATGAAGAAGGACCCGGTGAAGAAAATCTTCGTTGGGGGTCTGAATCCTGAAGCCACTGAGGAAAAGATCAGGGAGTACTTTGGCGAGTTTGGGGAGGTGAGTGTGGCTCTGGGAATAGCCCATCAGCTGCCCCTAAGGCTGCCTTCTTTCTGGTCCTTGGTATCCTTGGCTGGCTAGACCCTCCCAGGCAGGGCTTATTTTTCACCCTCTGTCTTCAATGGGGTCTTTTCTCCTGTGAGTCCCCTATATGCTCTGGGGTAGGGAGGTATTGGGCCTGAGTTTGCCTATGCTTTTTGCAGATTGAGGCCATTGAATTGCCAATGGATCCAAAGTTGAACAAAAGACGAGGTTTTGTGTTTATCACCTTTAAAGAAGAAGAACCCGTGAAGAAGGTTCTGGAGAAAAAGTTCCATACTGTCAGTGGAAGCAAGGTAAGGTGTTCCCAGCTCTGCTTGGCCTCCTGTGCTGCTGGAGAGCTGGCCCTTAGAGGGATGGGTTAGGGGTTGGGCCTCATGCAGGAGCTCTCCAGGTTGGTCAGACTTTACTATTTCTCTGAAGCGTATGCTGCCCTGATTGGGGCAGTGTTCCAATCCTTGAAAGACTTCTCAGGCTGGGAGGACTGCCAATAAACAACACAGGATGTGAGGGAGGTAGGAGAAGGTGGCCTCTGTGAATAGAGCAGGTTGAGTAGCCTCTTTAGCTCCTCACTTAAAGCTAGAGGTGACAGTTCTAGATTCTTGAGTCCAGGGGTATGAAGCCTGCAGTTTAAGGTCTCAGAAGATCCTAGAACTTCTGCAACTCACTGATTCTCCTCTGTGGTGAAGTTTTTCTTATTCCAGAGCCTTTCTACCTCCTTCTACAACCAAGTCTTTGTCCACTTCCATCCACTTTGAGCACTTTTTTTTTTTTTTTTTTTTTTTTGCTTTGAGACAGAGTCTTGCTTTGTTGTCCAGGCTGGGGTGCGGTAACACAATCATGGCTCACTGCAACCTTGACCTCATGGGCGGACCGGATCCTCCCATCTCAGCCTCTCGAGTAGCTGGGACCACAGGCATGTACCACCATGCCTGGCTCATATGTTTTTTTAAAGCCTGGTCTCACCATGTTGCCTGGGCTCAAGCCATCCTCTGCCTTGGCCTTGTAAAGTGTTGGGATTACAGGCATGAACTGCCTCACTTGGTCTTCTGGGCACCTCTTTAAGTTAACCCTAAACCCAGGCAAAAATCCTTCCAAAGATCTCCCAGGGTCCTGGCCAGCTTAAATCCAGGGTCAGTTGTGCTTTCAAATGAGTGGATTCATGTGCAGGGAGGTGTAGCTCTTCCCCTCCTGAACTCTGGTCAGGGAAAGGGTAGTTCAGGCTTCAAGTTGGCAGTTGGGAGTTGAGGGTGCGGCCTGCAGTGGCAGGGTGTGGCAGGTTCTGTTTCTGAGCAGGAGTTGGCAGCCAGATAAGGTGGGACAGGTGGAACTCCTGGAAGTCTCTATCCTGGCTGGGAGTTTGGAAAGAGTGGATTAGGATAGTCTTAAATTTTCTATAAAATGACAGTCTTTGAGGCAGTTAGGGGAAGCAGTGGTTATTACTCCAGTGGACAGTGATAGAGGCCTTTTTCTCTATGTGCCATAATGGGAAATGGGTGGGAAGAGCCTCTAAGGCAGAGTTTAAGTGAAACTACTGGTAGTGAGTCTTAGGAGTAAGTATATTTAGTTGGTTATATTCAGTATTTTTAATTTAGTAGGATAGAATATATCAGATTGCATTATTTTAATTTGCCAATTAAAAGTATGACTGGGACACTGTAAAATGTACTATTTTTAATGGGTGTGCATGTCAGGATTTTCTTTAGAAATACACTGGTCTGGTCTAATTTATTTAAGCAGGAGCACTTTAAAGTATCCCACCCTACCCCATTCCACCCCCAGTGGACAGAAAGGAAATTGACTGACTTGAGGGGATGCAGACATCTGGGTTATTCCAACAGACCAGTGGTTAGGAGGAGGGGGTGGGTAGCATTATGGCCTCGGGCAGGCCCCCCCACCCTGAGCCTCTGAAAGCTGACTTTATCTGTAAGAGGGAGGTCAGGCTCGCCTTCTCAATAGCGTGTATTTGGATGAGATGAGTTTCTTCTGTAAAGAGAAAAAGATGTTAAAACCTCATTGTCTAAGGCCCCTCATCTGAGAAGTCTTGTCTGACCCTCTAGCCCAGCAGGACCAAGGTGTGGTGCCTGGTCCCAGCCTGTCCTCTGCTCCCCTGGGCTGCAGTTGGCCCAGTTGCCTGCCTCCATTAGATACGGAGTTGCTCTGGGGCTGAGATGCCCATCTCAAGTGCATTCTGTCGGAAGGGTTCTCTGCTGGAAGGCCTTTGGTTTTAGTTGGGATTCCATGAGCTTTAGCCCAAAGGTGGCCTCCCATACTAGCATATTTTGTTTCTCAGCAAATGGACCTGATCCACCATTTGATGTTTGTCGCAGTGAAGGTGTTTGGGCAGTCACTGCCCTGAGTTTGTCCTACTGGCCTGACCACTGTCCTCTTGACTTTTAGTGTGAGATCAAGGTGGCCCAGCCCAAAGAAGTCTATCAGCAGCAGCAGTATGGCTCTGGGGGCCGTGGAAACCGCAACCGAGGGAACCGAGGCAGCGGAGGTGGTGGTGGAGGTGGAGGTGAGTGGAACGTGGATGAAGATAGGTCCTGTTTCCCTGCCTACATGGAGCCTTCCAAGCCTGTCTTGGGGCTCCCTCTGGTGCTGTGCAGCAGGGGTGGGCAGATTGTGTGAGGTTGGGGACGAACAGGAATAGGAACGGCTCTGGGTCAGGGCTGTATGCTTGAGGCTGTTGCCTGCTGCTGCCCCTTGGAATGGCTTGGGTGCCCAGGGCAGAGAGAGCATTTGTGTTACACTCTGGGGGAGGGGATGTGATGGGTGTCTTGGCTTTGTGGATGTCCTGAGTCTGGTACACCTGTGAGCAGGTAGGCAGAAGGGTGGGTAGGGCAGAGCTGTGCCAGGCATTTATCCCCTTCCATCCCAGGCCCCTCTGACTCCAAAGCCTGAACTGCATCTTTTTAAAGGCTAAGCTGCCAAGGAGAGTGGGAGTGATCAGAGAGTGACTGAGTGAGTGAGCTGCCTTGTTTGCCCCAAGTAAAGTTAGCATCCTGGTCTCTGATCCTCTGCTTGGGTCTCTCAGATGCAGGGTTGGGCCCAGGGCCCTTATACACCAGAACAGCAGCCCCTTGGCTTCTGCCTGAGTTGCCACAGTAACCCTGCCACCCCAAAGGGCAGGATTTCCTCCATCCTAGCTCCTGCGTATGCTAAATGGTCCACGGGCCCCTGTGCCCTGCTCCCCCCACAGGTCAGAGTCAGAGTTGGAATCAGGGCTACGGCAACTACTGGAACCAGGGCTACGGCTACCAGCAGGGCTACGGGCCTGGCTATGGCGGCTACGACTACTCGCCCTATGGCTATTACGGCTACGGCCCCGGCTACGACTACAGTAAGTAGGAGAGAGGGAGGCCCCATCCGCTCACCCCTCGTCCCCAGGGGAGGCAGGACAGTGTAGGAGCCACTGGCAGCAGGGGCTTTGGAGTCAGACAGGCCTGGCTCAGCCATGGGAGCTACTTGATTTTGAGCCTTAGACTTCGGGGTCTTAATAACATGAGGAAGGCAGTCTCTGCTGTCACGGCTGGTGAGGGTCCTGGGAAGATGCATATCAAGCGCGTGGCACAGGGCAAATGCTTGTAAATAGTAGCTGCTATGGTTGTTCTCGTCCCTAGGTCAGGGTAGTACAAACTACGGCAAGAGCCAGCGACGTGGTGGCCATCAGAATAACTACAAGCCATACTGAGGCGGCAGCAGGAGCGACCAACTGATCGCACACATGCTTTGTTTGGATATGGAGTGAACACAATTATGTACCAAATTTAACTTGGCAAACTTTCTATTGCCTGTCCCATGTGCATCTTATTTAAAATTTCCCCCATGGAAATCACTCTCCTGTTGACTATTTCCAGAGCTCTAGGTGTTTAGGCAGCGTGTGGTGTCTGAGAGGCCATAGCGCCATCATGGGCTGATTTTTATTACCAGGTCCCCCAGAAGCAGGTGGGAGGCTCTGCTTCCTGCTGCCGCTCTGCAGCCTGGACCTGTGGACCCTGGTTGTAAAGAGTAAATTGTATCTTAGGAAACCAGTGTCACCTTTTTTTCACCTTTTAATTTTATATTATTTGCGTCATACATTTCCTGTAACGGAAGTGTTAATTTTACTGTACTTTTTGGTACCTTTTGGGAATCTAATGTATTGTAAGGTATTTTACACGTGTCCTGATTTTGCCACAACCTGGATATTGAAGCTATCCAAGCTTTTGAAATAAAATTTAAAAACCCCCAAGCCTGGGTGAGTGTGGGATATGCTGTGTGAGACCTCTTGCTCAGGGTCGAGGGAGGCGGGGGGGGGGTGCCAGGTGCCCTGGACTTGGGGCTTTCTCCTGCAGCAGGCTCTTCCAGCTGCAGGCCCAGTTGTGGGGGTATCCTTTAAGGACTGCCCTGCCTAGGGCTGAGCCCCCCTTCAAAGAAAGGAATGAGAGGCCTATGGGGAGTGAGGATGGGGCAGTGATGAGGGCTTACATCCCCAGCAGGCATGTCCCCTCCTGGGACACCTTGGAACACCAACCTTCTTGGCTGATGAATGAAAAAATGGGATTCTTTACACACTAGGGCAGTGCCAGGGCCGTCTGAATTGGGGCACAATAGTGCTCCTCCTGGCTGGTGAAGAAAAGCCTGCTCTGGCAGGGGATGTTTATTGGCTGGATTGGAGCCCAACTCCAGGTCTGGTATTTAGGGCATAAGACTAGGTGGTTACAAGAGGCAAGGGTGGGTTGGGGTTCCACGTGGATACAGCCCCATAGGTTTCAAGGGAGGATATAGCTGTTCCTGCCATCAAGTGCAAGCTAAGCATTGGAGAATTTCCAGTGTTGAAGAAACTAACCTTTGGGAAGGAGCATCAGTCAGAACAAAAAAAAGTCTTAAAAAAAGGCTCAGCTTGCCGAGGCTGCTTGCTGCTGATGGTAAGGAACCCGCTGTGCATCTTCAAGAGTAAGAAGCAAGGCCCACTCACCTGGAGTACACTTAGGCAGAGCAGGGCTGGCTTAGGGCTGGAGCCTCAGCGTTTCACAACTTCTCACCTTCTCTTCCATGTCTGAAAAAGACCACAAAGCAATGCCGACTCAGTCACCTTTCTCTGCTGAAGATGCCCTGTTGACTTCAGTGTCCAAACTGGAGGACAGTTTAGAGATTGGGCCCTCTGGCTATCCACACCCATGTCCCATTCCCCAAAGGGGTGGCAGCAGTTTCCTGAAAAACAAAGCCAGCCCTCAGTTCTCCTGAGATTTGTAGGCTCTGTCCAGGATCCCTAAGCCTGTTCTGTGGCCAGCCTTTGCTCTCCACAAACACACTCCTATTCATCATATCCCTACCACTTCCAATTTGTGTCTAGCAGGGATGGGCCTCCCCCAGCTCCAGAGCCCTGGGATTAAGCATACCTGTGGGTAGCAGTGATCACCCAGAGGTAGGAGGGCACAGGTTGCTTGGCTGGCAGTTGTGATCTCTACTGTGAGATGCAACTGTGCCTATTTAGGGTCTCACTGAGCTGTAAATGGCAACACAGCCATGAGATTTCCTTGTAAGTGGATTTAGGGGGAACCCTGGGTTGACCACGACCATCCTAGGTGATGGGGAATGTGGGGTAGAGTTTTCATTTTGAGTTCCGTCAGTCCTCAGTGGTACCAATCTTTCAGCCACCCAGCAGCCTTGTGTGACCTGTCTCATGTACAGAATGAAACTCCTGCCATCTCTACATCCTAGGCTGGCGGTAATGGGGTCTCAACTCCCACTGTAGTTCTTATGGCCTGTTTCTCAGGCCCAGTACTGCTTTGTCCTGCATACATCTGATGCCTGCTCAGGCAGGCTGGGTGGTGGCTCACCTTCCACCTCCTGACAGCCCAGGAAGCTCTCTTAGGTACAGGCAGGAATAGGAGCAGATTG
This sequence comes from Homo sapiens, assembly GCF_000001405.40. Lineage (NCBI taxonomy): Eukaryota > Metazoa > Chordata > Mammalia > Primates > Hominidae > Homo > Homo sapiens. Next base: position 178,212,816 of record NC_000005.10, read on the forward strand.
GGCCATGAAAGACCCTCTCTTGCTCCCTGCCCTGTCCAGAGGACATGTGCCTCTGCTCTTGGACTCTTGTCCCCTCCCTGTTCCATGCTAGGAGGCTCTAGTTGCTGGCTTCAGGCTGAGTTCTAGAGATATGGCCAAGCTCAGGCTTCAAGCTCACCAGTCAGAATGGCATCCAGCTTTGCCACCACCTGCCGTGCATTGTCCAGGCTGAAGCACATTGGGGGCTTAAACTTCAGGATGTTCCTCCCAGGGCCATCAGTGCTCAGCAAAACGTAGTTCTCCTTCAGCCTGTGAGGACAGGACACCCCTTCACATGGCCTTCAAGGCCTTCCTCAGCCTGGCCTTGGCCTCATGTCCAGTGCTCCAGCCACACTGTCCTCAGAGCCTTCCATGGGCCAGTTCCTGCCAGGTCATTTTACTGGTCACCTCTCCCAGAGTCCTGTGCATCTGGCCCACAGCAGCCTGCTTGGAGTGCACTGCACCTGGCCCTGAGCCTGCTGCCCCACAGAACAGGCACCTTGCCTCACCTAACCCTGGAGCCACAGTCCAAGCCAAGAATGAATGGCCACAGGGAAACGCCAGACTGCAAGAGTCACCTGCATTCTCTGGTTTTCTGTGTGGTTTACGTGATGTATATTGTTTCCTTATATAGAGAATGTCCAACATTGCAGTTGGTGTAATGAGCTCCACGTGCCCCTCACCAGCTTCAGGCATCTTCCTGCCCTGTCTTCCGGGTTATCTTACAATTCCAGTTTAAAATGTCCAATTATTCTTAGGAAGATGGCTTTATCTTAACATCATTTGTAGCTAATAATCACTTTTAGTCCACAGTCTAACCTCATCTCTGAGATGAGGGGTCTGCATGATTGTGTTTATATTCTTTGATCATTGTTCCCCTTCTTTTGTAAACCTTGTTATTTTTATTTCTTGGGGGTGGGGAGTGTGCCTTCTGGTTTCATTTTCCTGTCCCAGTCTTCCTGGCACTGACCATGGCCACGCCAGAAAGAACAGGGCTTGGACTTTGGAGTTAGACGGCCCTGGGGCCAGATCTAGCTCTTGCCACCTAGCAGGGTAACTGCAGGTGACTTACCCATTTCCTCACTGAACTGGAAAAGCACCCCCAGGGTATTGTGAGACACGGGCTGAACTTGGGATCTGTTTCCTTCCATGCCACCTGACCATTCCGAATCCCTGAGGCTCCTGGGAGGGGGGTAGGAGTAAGCTGGGGATGTGACTGACAGCAGAGAGAAGGCGGGACCAGGAAAGGCCAAGTTCAAATACAGCACAGAGATTTACATCAATACCACGCGTGTCTCACAATTTGAATAAGGACACGTCAAATACCAGAAGAGCTTTCCATGGTGGGCGTGGGGGAAGGGGTAGGCCTGGGGAATGGAGATAAAAGGGAATAACAATTCAACTAGAAGGAGAAGAAGTCCTGAGGACTTGGGGTCCAAGTGAAAGGACAAGCAAACCAGGGCATTGGGACCGGTGGAGTCTGAGTTCTGAGACACCCCCGACCCAGCTTAGGAGCAGGAGTCTTGTCCATCCCAACCACCTGTCGTGCGGCATGGGAACCCTGAGTCTAGTGCTGCCACAGCTCCCTGGTATGAATAGAGAAGGTGTTTCCCTTCTCCAGGCCAAGGTGGCATTAGGGGTTCCTGGGTCTGAGTGCCCTGCTAGCTTGGGCATTCTAGGCAGAGGTGCTGCTCTGGTCTGGGAATAGCCTGTGTCTCATCTGCAGCCTTTGTAGTCAGGCACTGGGTACAGAACTGCTAACACCACTTATCTCTGTCCTCAGCTGATAGGATCAGCTGTCCCCCAACAACTGCCCCCACCCGCCAGCCCCAGCCCTCTTTCAATCAAGTCTGTGGCCCAGAGTGCTGGGGGTACAGATGAGGCTCCTTTCCACTGGCCCTGCAAAGAGGTACCTGTGGTGTCTCCTACTCCAGGAAGCAACTTGTTTCAAGAAGAAAATACCTTGATACCAAGTAGGCAGCCTCTTCAGTTGCTGGTGTCCTTGTGGCCTCATCTTTGATCAGATCCACACCAATGAAGAGCCCAACACCCCTGCAAGGGAAGGTGACGACATCTCAGGAGGCCAGGCCTGAGGGGCCAGGGTGCTGGCCTCAGCCTCTGGGCTCCTACCTGTGCCTCCTGAGGGGGCTGAGTGCAGGAGGCACCTTCAGAAGGTGGTGAGAATAGTTTCAGGGAATAACTGGGCTGGGAGAGATCTTTGGTGTGGACAGAGGAGAGAGGCTCAGGGGTAGCTAGGGATCAGGTCATGTCCTAGCTTTCTCCTCCCCAGGAGAGCCGTTTTGGGCAATAGCACCTCTCAGTGTCTCAGTTCCTCTTGAGAGCGGACATAACCCCACCATCCCAGGTTGTTAGGAGGTGAAGAAAATGGTACCACACTGGGCCTTGGCAGGTGGGTGGTGACTGCTGCCCCCAGAGCCTCACCTGACATCCCCGACGATGGGATGTTTGATTTTTTGCTGCCCGAGGAGCTGCATCAGGAAGCTGCCTACACTGGTGGCATGATCCTGGAGCTGCTCCTTCTCCAAGACATTCAGGACGGCCAGCCCCACAGCGCAGGACACTGGGCTGCCCCCAAACTGAGCCAGGGACAAAGAACATGTCAGATGCCCTGGCAGAGTGGGCCATGCCCCAGAGTGAGGGTGAGGCAGAAGAACTGCCACACGTGTTCCAAGGCCAGTGGCAAGAGCAGAGGCCCCAAACCCCTTAGGGCGCACAGTCCTCAGCAGTAGTAAGTGGGGTTCAACATGGGCTGTCCTGGCTTTCCAGGAGCTAATGTGACTGCAACTCAGGTCAGGTATCCCTGAAGTACAGTAGGAGCCCCTAGAAGATACAGAATCAGAGGAGAGGGTGTCCTGTTTGTTCCCACAGGGCTAGTCTTTACCAAGAGAGGCTTTAAGGCCCCATCTCCTGGGCCCAGACCCAGAGGACTGGATTAGGCACTTCCTCCTCCAGGGAGAGTGAGCGCAGCACGCCAAGCCCCACCCAGGAAAAGCTGCTTCACACCCCTGGAGGGCTCTGGCTCCTTTCCCTCGCCCACCCTGTCCTCATCCTGCAGGTATCTGAGTGGAGACCTGTGTTTTAGAGGATCACGAGCAAGGTGTCTCCTGCAAACCACGTTTTTTGTTTCGTTTTTAAACTACATCTTTAAAAACATCAGCTTTGTTGAGGTATAATTTATATATAAACTGTGTTTAAAGTATAAAGTTCAACGTGAGGTGACAAATGTATGTACCTGTGTAACCTCCCTCGCAGTGAAGTTGCAGAACATTTTCATCACTTCCTGTGCAACCGTCCCGCTACTACTGGACCCAGGCATCCACTGATCTGCTTTCTGTTACTATGAGATGGCTACAGGGGGCTTTGAAAGGCTGTGACGTACTCCTGGGAGTCTAGAAGGCCATTCATATGCATAGGGATGTGCTTATGCCCAGTGCTGTGTGCATGCTCAGGTAAGATCTAGAAAGCCCTAAGCTCTCACCACTGGCTACCTTGAGCCTCTGCAGAATGAGGAAGTAAAGTCTAAGGCAGTTATAAACTCTTGGCTGAGTGACTTACGGGTTCCAGGCAATTAAGGAGATCTAATGGTTAGAGGACCACTAAGCTAATCAAGCAGAGACTATAGTGGCCACACATGACAAAGAACACAACTTTACATAATTAGTTCAGAAAAGACATTAAACAAGAAAAAGGAACCACCATGGGGAGGGAGGAGAATATGATTTCCACAGTTGCCACATTATGTTACTTAAAATGTCCAGCTTTTAACAAAATTCTGAAACATGCAAAGAAGCATGGCCCAGACACGGGAGGAAAAAAAGCAATCAATGCAAACTGCGCCCGAGGAAGCTGACACTGACCTTACTGGATAAAGACTTTAAATCAGATGTTACAAACATGTTAGCTGGGTGCAGTGGCCCATGCCTGTAATCCCAGCACTTTGGGAGGCCAAGATGGGTGAGTTGCCTAAGGTGAGGAGTTCGAGACCAGCCTGGGCAGCATGGTGAAACCCCATCTCTACAAAAAATAAAAATAGCCAGGCGTGGTGGCACATGTGTGTACTCCCAGCTGCTTGCGGGGTGAGGCAGGAGGATCACTTGAGCTCCAGAGGCTGAAGCTGCAGTGAGCCAAGACTCCAGCCTGGGCAACAGAGTGAGACCCTGTATCCAAACAAGCAAACAGAAACAACCCCAAAACCAAATATGTTAAGAGACCTAAAGGAAACTATACTTAAAAAATTGAAAGCAAAGCATGAAAATGATGTCTTACCAAAACAGAGTCTAATGATAGATAAATTATTAAAAATCAATCAGAAAATTTGAAGTTGATAAGCACAATAAATGAAATGAAGCATTTACTAGAGAGGCTCAACAGATTTTTTTTTTTTTTTTGAGACAGTCTCGCTGTCACCCAGGATGGAGTGCAGTGGTGCGATCTCAGCAAACTGCAGCTGCCGCCTCCCAGGTTCAGGCGATTCTGGTGCTTCAGCCTCCCAACTAGCTGGGACTATAGGTGCATGCCACCACATCTGGCTAATTTTTGTATTTTTAGTAGAGACGGAGTTTCACTGTGTTGGCCAGGCTGGTCTTAAACCCGGGACCTCAAGTGATCCGCCCACCTCAGCCTCCCAAAGTGCTAGGAAATTACAGGCGTGAGCCACTGCACCTGGCAACAGCAGATTTAAGCCGGCAGATGAAAGAATCAGTGAAAAAAAAAAAAAAAGTCAGCCGGCCGCGGTGACTCACACCTGTAATCCCCGCACTTTGGGAGGCTGAGGCGGGTGGATCATGAGGTCAGGAGATCGAGACCATCCTGGCTAACATGGTGAAACCCCGTCTGTACTAAAAATACAAAAGATTAGCTGGGCATCATGGCGGGCGCCTGTAATCACAGCTACTCGGGAGGCTGAGGCAGGAGAATGGCGTGAACCCGGGAGGCAGAGCTTGCAGTGAGCCGAGATCACACCACTGCACTCCAGCCTGGGCGACAGAGCGAGACTCCGTCTCAGAAAAAAAAAAAAAAAGTCAATTGAGATTGTCCAGTCTGAAGACCAGAAAGAAAAAGGAATAAAGAAAAACAGTCATGTCTGGGCGCGGTGGCTCACGCCTGTAATCCCAGCACTTTGGGAGGCCGAGACGGGCGGATCACGAGGTCAGGAGATCGAGACCATCCTGGCTAACACGGTGAAACCCCGTCTCTACTAAAAAATACAAAAATTAGCCGGGCGTGGTAGCGGGCGCCTGTAGTCCCAGCTACTCGGGAGGCTGAGGCAGGAGAATGGCATGAACCCGGGAGGCGGAGCTTGCAGTGAGTCGAGATCGCGCCACTGCACTCCAGCCTGGGTGACAGAGCGAAACTCCGTCTCAAAAAAAAAAAAAAAAAAAAAAGAAAGAAAAGAAAAACAGTCATATAGACCCAAGGACACAAGCATACCAACATGCAAATGACTGTCCCAGAAGGAGAGGAAAGGGGCAGAACAAATATGAAAACGTTAAAAACCCTATGTAACTTGCAGTGAATTGAATGTTTGTGTCTCTCCCAATTCATGTGTTGAAATCCTAACCTCCAATGTGATGGTATTAAGAGGTGGGGCCTTTAGGTTATTAGGTCACAAGAATAGAGCCTTCATGAATGCGAATATGGTTTTCTAAAAGAGATCCCAGGGAGTGCTCACCCTTTCGACAATATGAGGTACAGCGAGAAGCTGGCTGTCAGCAACCCGGAAGAGGACTCTCACCAGAACCCCAACCATGCTGGTGCCCTGATCTTAGATTTGCAGCCTTCAGAACAGTGAGAAATCTGTTTATAACCCACCCAGTCTATGGTATTTTGTTATAGTTATAGCATCTTGAACTCACTAAAACATAACTTTTAAAGAAGTTAAAGCAGCAGTTAAATATCTTCCCACAAAACACAAGGCCCAGATGGCTTTATAGGTGAGTTTTTACCTTCAAAGGACAGATCATCCCAATTTTATGTAAAAGAAAAAGAAGAAATATTTCCCAATTTATTCTATAAGGTTAGTAGGACCCAGTTACCAAAACCCAAGGTATAAGAAAAAAATTTGAGCCAACATTTTACTCCTGAAAACAGAGCAAGACTCCGTCTCAAAAAACAAAAAAAAGTAAAGGAAAACACTGTAGTATGACATGCACAAAGGATGTAATTGGATTCCTGATTCACATCGTGTACAAAAATAAACTCCAGATGGATTAAGGACCTATATGTCAAAACAAAATGTTAAAAGACTTAAGAGGAAACATAAATGAATATATTTTATAACTTGGAGTAGGGAGAGATATCTTAAACAATATATGAAAAACACCGTCTATAAAACAAAATGATAAGAGTTGACAATGTTAAAATTTAAAACTTTATAAATATGTAAAGGGAGTGAAGACAGGTTATAAACTGGATGAACATATTCACAAATACACAATAGACAAGGGATTAGCATAATAGATATGTATGTGTTGGTATATACACACACACACAGACACACACACATACAAACAGACACAAAACTCCCACAAATAAAATTAAGCACTGGTAACTCAATAAAAAAAAAATGGGCAAAAGACACAAAAGACACAAATAGGCATTTTTTTTTTTTTTTCTTTGAGATGGAGTCTCTGTCGCCCAGGCTGGAGTGCAGTGGCGCAATCTCGGCTCACTGCAAGCTCCGCCTCCCGGGTTCACGCCATTCTCCTGCCTCAGCCTCCCGAGTAGCTGGGACTACAGGTGCCCGCCACCACGCCCGGCTAATTTTTTCTATTTTTCAGTAGAGATGGGGTTTCACCGTGTTAGCCAGGATGGTCTCGATCTCCTGACCTCGTGATCTGCCCACCTCGGCTTCCCAAAGTGCTGGGATTACAGGCGTGAGCCACCGCACCCGACCACAAATGGGCATTTCATTGAAGAGCAAACAAATGGTCAATAAACATATGAAGAGATACTTCACGTAATCTGAAATCAGGGAATGGCATATCAAGACCATACAAGCTACTGTTTTACGCTCCACTTGACTGGCAAAAATTAAAAGGCACTGAAGAAGATATAGGCCGGGTGCAGTGGCTCATGCCTTGTAATCCCAGCATTTTGGGAGGCCGAGGTGGGCCGATCGCTTGAGCTCAGGAGTTTGAGACCAGCCTGGGCAACATGGTGAAACTCCATCTGTACCAAAAATACAAAAAATTAGCTGGGCATGGTAGCATGCACCGGTGGTCCCAGGTACTTGGCAGGCTGAAGTGGGGGGATCACTTGAGCTCTGGAAGTAAAGGCTGCAGTGAGCTGAGATCGCGTCACTGCACTCCAGCCTGGGTGACAGAGTGAGACCCCGTTTCAAAAAAAAAAAAAAAAAAAGAATGCCGGATGCAGTGGCTCATGCCTGTAATCCCAGTGCTTTGGGAGGCTGAGGCGGGCGGATTACCTGAGGTCAGGAGTTCAAGAGCAGCCTGACCAACATGGAGAAACCCCATCTCTACTAAAAATACAAAATTACCCAGGTGTGGCGCATGCCTGTAATCCCAGCTACTGGGGAGGTTGAGGCAGGAGAGTTGCTTGAACCCAGGAGGCAGAGGTTGCAGTGAGCCGAGATCGCGCCACAGCACTCCAGCCTGGGCAACAAGAGTGAAACTCTTGTCTCAAAAAAACAAAAACAAAAAAGGATATACACTATATACACTACTGGTGGGGTGTTAACTTGTGAACTACTTTAGAAAACAAATGTCATTATCTTTTAAAATGAAGGGTAAACACATACCATATGGGCCAGCAATTCCACCCTCAGGTACAGTCCTAAGAAAAACTCTTGCTACATGTACAACAGAGACTTATGAAAACTATTCAAAGCAGCACTGTTCATAATTGCAAAAAAAAAAAAAAAACAAAAAAAACATGGAACGACCTCAAAGCACAGCAATAGTAATGGATGACTGAACTGTGGTACATTTATACAAAGATTATAAAGCAGTCAAAGCAAATGAACTTCAGTGACAGGCAATAGGGAGGATTCTTAGTGATATGTTAGTAGAAAAAAAAATCCCCAGAGTATATACAGCATGATAGACTTCATATAAACTCAAATAACAACTAAATAATATGGGATTGAGAGTGATGGTTACCATGGTTATTCAGAGTGATGGGTGGAGAAGGCAACAAGAGGGAATTGGGGGGAACATCTGGAGAGATACATGATATTATCAAGGTCTAAGCTTTCATTAGGGATGCTGGCTTCCCAGGTGCTTAGAACATTAATAAAGGTTAACTGAATAACTAGAAGAGGGCTATGCACAGACAGATGTTGAGAGTCTTCCATGAACCAAGGATTCTATCTAATTATGTACACTTGAGGGTCAAGTAAAACAAAGAAATAAACAAAAGTCAGGATGCTGCTCCACTGGGCCTTTGTTGTTCCCCTTACACAACCCACTTGATTTCCTGCTCAGCCTTCCAGACTGAGATCTGGTCTTGCCTTCTCTATGAAGCCTCTACTGCTTGTCCCACAGCTCTTCACCCACCTCTTGCCTGGGATGTCCTTTGTGCTCTCACAGCACCGTGAACACACTACTTCCACTCATCCTCCACGCTGTCATGACCATGTGTCTGTGAGCCTGTCTTTCCCCGACAGTGAGCTCCTCTGAGGCTCTATGTGTCACATGGACAGAGTGATGGTTTTTGGCTGAATGCACCAAAGTGTCACTTCCCTCACCCCTAAGGACATTATCTTGCCTTATCTATCTTGCCAAATCCTGACATGTTTTAGTCCCCAATTCAAACTGGCTCTTTTTGAGGAACTTACAGTGAATTCTCAACCCTCTGTCCCTGCCCTTCCTCCTCTGGGCCTCCTCCTCTCCTCCCTGGATCAGTCTGCCTTCCTCCAGTTCTTTCTCCACACTGAGCACCAGAGATCTTTCCAAAGAGTACTCTCTCCAGGATTAAAACCCTCCTGTGGTCCTCACTCTTCAAGATCAGTGAGACTCCTCGGCTCTTTCCTGTGGGGCTCGTGCTGCCATCCTCTCACCTACCCTGCAACTGCTGCCTCAGGGCCACTGAATATGCCATGTGTCAGCTTCACTCAGGGAAAGCTCTTGACCCTGTACCCCAAAGACAGGGAGCCACTGCAATGCGAACTCTGCTCTGAGATCATGTGTTACCCAAGCACACCACACTCCTCACAACTCTTAACCAGCTCAAGTTCCAGCACCTGACACAGGGCGTGGCACAGAATGGGTGGCATCTGCTGAAAGGAAGACAGGGACTCCTATTTTTGTATATATTTTATAAGACATGGTCCCTTGTGACAGCTTTTGGATTGACACTAATTTTAAAAGATGTTTTATGTTTTCTTACCTGACCTGGCTATAATCTCCTTAAGGACAGCGTCTTGGAAGCGTGTGCTGGGCACAGTGCTAGCCCTGTAGCCTTTGCTGACTAAGGACAGGCTGATCACCGGGGGCCTATCAGAACCCATGTTGCTCCCTTGACTTAGAGCCATCACTCACCGTGTTGAAGTACTCAACGCCGGTGGCTTCAAATGCCCTCGCCACAGGCTGGGTTGCGGCCACGCAGGCAACAGGGTGGCCGTTGCCAATGGACTTGCCCATGGTGACGATGTCAGGGACGAAGTCTTTTCCCTGGAGCTGGAAGGCCCAGAAGTGCTTGCCTACCCGGCCAAAGCCAACCTGGATCTCATCTGCAACAAAGACCCCTCCGGCCTTGCGGATGTGCCTGTGGCAGAGGAGATGACTGACACGGGGGCTGTGGTTGAGAGGGATAAGATCAGGACCCAGGAGGTCTCGGGGCTTTGCACCCTGGCTCTGCCAGCAGTAAGGTGGGGACCTTGGGCAATGGCTGGCCTTCTCTGGGCCATTCTTTCTTTAAGGGCTTTGTCTCAAAATTCTGGCAGTCAGGACAGGCTGAGGTTGGGATTTGGACCAGAGGTTGGAAAACCTCATTAGACCCCTGCCCTCCCTAGAGCAGACCCCGCCCACCTACTCACTCTGCCACTTGGGAGAAGTAGCCAGCAGGGGGAATGATCTGCCCTCCCACACTGGGCAGAGACTCAGCGAAGAAGGCTGCAATCTGTGAAGAGATGGACATTGGGAACACGACCATGGGGTTGTGCAGTGACCGGCTTAGCGTGCCCTGCTAGTGCTGGCTTAGTCCAAGCAAGACAAGTCACCATCAGTGCTGCACCCCTACTTTGGGTTCCATGTTACATCTGAAGGTTTGTGACTCAGTTTTCTCTCAGGCCTCCAGCCAACTCTTACTACCTGGATGCCTCCAGGCCCCTAGTACTTGGCATGCCCCAAACTACATGCACTGATTTTTCCACCATAAGCCAGTTCCTTCCCTGTCCCCCATTTTTGATCCACGCCTCCTCCCTCAACCCATCAGTCAGCACTGCCCAAGGATTCTACCTCAGCCCCCTCTCTAAACCTACTCCTTGCCCTCTGCCTGGACATGCCTGCCTCCTGCAGATTTGCCTGTTTCTTCCTTGGACTCCTGCAGAGGTCTTCTAACTGAATGCCTTTTCCAGTCCATCCTCCACATGGCCACCAGGGTGATGATGCCTCAACCCAGAGAACTGAGCATGTCACTGTTGTTTAAAACCCCTCAGTGACCCCTTCTGCATATGGCAATGATTTCCCAACCATATTCTGCCTTACAGGTGGGAGGGCAGGGCCAATGGGATGGGATACTGGTCCCCCACACCTGTTGCAATCAGAGCAATCTCCTTTTTTAGGTTTTATAGAAGTGGTCGCAGAGCACCTGAAACACACAGGCAAGGCTCCCCTGGTCGGGTTCTGCTAACCTTTCTGGCCCCACAGGCTGCCTTTCTTTGTCGTACCTCCTGTGTCTGGCTCTGTCACTCCTTCAGTGAAGCCTTCAGAGAGCCCTCACCTGTCGCCAACAGTCTTCCCTCTGTTGTCACCGTAGGTAACACACCTCTCTCTCCTATGTCTGCGCCTCCACTCCATCTCCACCATACTGCCCCCGTCAGGCCTCCCCACAGCTCACTTGGGGCCTGCTGGCCACTTCACGGTCACCTGACCTCAAGCCGCCGCATTCCAATCCATCCTCCACATAGCCCTGGAGTCAGAGAGCAGCCCCGGCCCCAGGTCTTAGCGCTCTCCTGCTTAAGACTCTGGTGGTTCCCGGGGGCCTCCAGGGCAGAACTGCTGCCGCCCAGCATAGTTCCGGTGCCCTCTGGCATGTGGACCCTGCCTGCCTCTCCAGGATCAGCTCCTGGCCACACATTCACACGGTTCCTCAGCCACCCAGTGGGATGCCCTTCCTCTGCTACTCCCCACCCCACCTGGAGTGGCTGACCCCTACTGTGTCAGAGAGCACCCCCTCCAAGGACCCCGCTTGGTACCTCCCAAGGCCTGCTCAGGCTCTGGCTGGCTACCACGCCCATGCTAGGCCGTGCACTCAGACTCTCTGCTGAGCCCAAACTGCCCCTATCCCAGATTCCTGGAGGGCAGGGCCTCGTTTGGTTTTCTCTCTGGGTTCCCAGCATCTAGCACAGTGGCGGTGACAACGGAGGTGACATTCACTGTTGGCTGGATTGGACAGGCGCGGACACGGTTACCTTCCTGCCCTTCTCCTGTGCACTGCTGACCACACGTTTCACCTCGTTGGCATAGGCCATAGCTGGGTTGGGGTGGTCCTCCCGGTAGGGGCCCCGGTAGGTGTCTGGGAGAGGTGCCTGTGGGGAGTGACAGCGCCATGTTATCCGGGCTTGGGGACAGGCACCGACCTGTTGTTGAGTTGGGCAGTGCATACCACGTGGACCCACTCCTTCTGGCCATCCAGGTTGCGGAACTTGTAGGGACTGATGTCAATCAGGGAGCTCAGGTGGCCGTGATACGCACTGGGGAGGAGAAGGGAGGGTAGGCTCGGGTCCGGGCAGCACCTACTCCCTGGCCCAGTCTGACCATCGTCTCCCCACCCCTGAAGACACACAAGGGAGGCCAACTTTCCTGACAGAGCCCCCAAGTTCTTGGGCTGGGAAAGAGCACAAGCTTTGGAGTCAGCAACAATTCTTGCAAGACTGCTGACTGGCTATGTGACAGCAGCTCATCATTTAATCTCTCTCGGTTGTTTTCTCTGCTGTGAAATGAGGTGGGATTTCCTCCTTCTGGTTTATAATGAATCTTAAATGTGTTGATATTGTCAGCCTCGGCTTTGTGCACATCACATACTCAATTCATGGGAGCTACTGCTGGAGTAGTTTGAACATGTACAATGTTGTGGGACCACCTTTGAGTCTCTTACAAAGCGCACTCTGCTCCCCAGAGCTGCCTTCCCAGAATGGTGGCCCAGGGTGACAGAGCCTCTGGGAGGTCTCAGGCCTGGTCCTCTGCCTGCCACACTTGTCTTCAGTAGCCCAGGCCCCTTATCCTCCCTGCCTAAGGCACCCAGAGTCAGTCTCACGGATCACCAAGAAGCCTGTGGGCCAGGCTTCTGGGAACGGTAGGGCTGTGAGTTGCACTTACTGATCTAATACCACCACGTCCTGGTGTCCCGTGTAGTGGCGAGCCAGCCTCAGGGCCAGGTCATTGGCTTCTGACCTATGACCGAAAAGGTGGGCATGACTGAGAGAGTAGTCTAAGAGCTTCCCAGAGAGAAATGCTGAGGGCAGGAGGACCCTTCCAGCAGCAAGAAGATTCTCAGGACATCAACTAGTCAGTCACTTGCTTGTTTGTTTGGTATATATCAAATGCCTCCTATGTACTAGAAGCTGGGGGAAAAAGAGTAGGTAAAACAGACATGGCCTTGGCCCTTCTGGAATTTACATTCTCGTATGTGTCATGAAAGTTGTTTTGAAAAAACCCAAACCATTGTTTTTCCTCTGCTTTCACACTACAACAATCAACACAGAAGACTTCTGTGACTCCAAAAAATATGTAAGGATTTCTCCCCACCACCAGGCAAGCAATCAGTTCTGCAGCGGACACCAGTTGGGTGTCCTCCAATTCAATTCCAACACTATCTACCTAGAGACAGCATCAGATCCCACAGCATGAGGGCTCAATGCCCAAGCTGCCCCACAGCCCCCTGGGCACCAGTAGCAAGTCTGGGCCTCTGGAACTTCTTTTTTTGCAGAGATGGGGTCTCACTATATTGCCCAGACTGGGGGCTCAAGCATTCCTCCCACCTCGGCCTCAAAGTACTGGAATTACAGGCATGAGCCACCATGCTGGCCACCTTTGGAATTTCTTTTTTTTTTTTTTTTTGAGACAGTCTCACTCTGTTGCCCGGGCTGGAGTGCAGTGGCGCGATCTCAGCTCACTGCAGCCTCTGCCTCTCAGGCTCAAGCAATTCTCCTGCTTCAGCCTCCCAAGTAGCTGGGATTACAGGCGCCCACCACGATGCCCAGCTAATTTTTCGTATTTTCAGTAAAGACAGGGTTTCACCATGTTGGCTAGGCTGGTCTCAAACTCCTGATCCACCCGCCTCGGCCTCCCAAAGTGCTGGGATTACAGGCGTGAACCACCGCGCCCGGGTGACCTTTGGAACTTCTGACCGACTGGCTTCAAGTTGAGGTTCCCACAATTCCCTCTGTAGGTTCAATTTGCTGGAGTGGCTCACAAAACTAAGGGAAATACATTTACTGGTTTATTATAAAGGATATTATAAAAGATACAGATAAAGAGATGCATAGGGTGAGGTATGAAGGAAGGGCATGGAGCTTCCTGTGCCCTCCCTGGGCGCACCACCCTTCTAGAACCTCTGTATGTTCAGTTATCTGGAAGCTCTCTGAATCCAGTCCCCTTGGTTTTTATGGAAGCTTCATGACAGCAGCATTCCTTCTAGCAGGATATGGGGTGGGACCGTCTCTGGAATGAGTTTTATGACCCACCATCAGAAAGGTAGGGAAGATTAGAGTCCTGTCTTGGGCAGGTAAAAGGAAGGGCAGGAGGTTAGAGTGATTGTCTCCTGAGGCCTGACACACCCAATGTTGTAACAAAAGAGTGTAACAAGGGCTGTGGGAGTTATGAGCCAGGAACTGTGGACGAAAATGAATGCGTGTGTTTGTATATATGTGTGTCTGTGTATTTATATATATATGTGTGTATATACAAATACACACACACACACGCCACCACAAAGCCAAAAAAGAAGAAGTGATCATTTTTCTAAGTGCTACGATGGATGCCCTGGGAGAGCGAGCCAGAGGGGGCATGTTTATGGGCTGAGCTGCACCCCCCCACCCCCAATTTATGTGTTGAACCCCTAATCCCCGGTAGCTCGCAATGGCCCGTATGTGAATGGATATGGAGATAAGAGAGGTGATTACATTAAGATGAGGCCGTCAGGGGGCCCCTCATCCAATCTCACCAGTGTCCTTATAAGAGAAAATCTGGACACACAAAGAGACACCAGGGACACCTGCACTCAGAAGACCAACCAGGGCCATCTCCAAGCCAAGGAGAGAGGCCTTAGAAGAAACCAACCCTGCGAACACCTTGGTCTTGGACTTCCAGCCTCCAGGACTGTGAGAAAATAAATGTCTTTTGTTTAAGCCACTCAGTCTCTGGTATTTTCTTATGAGAGCCAGAGCAGACCAACACAGAGGGTCAGGGGAAGCGTCTATGGGGAGGTGACTCATGTACTGAGTCTTGAGGGAGAGGTTTCCAGGCAGATGGAGCAGCATGCTCCAAGGCCTTGTGAAGGAAAAGAGCTCAGTGTGCTCCGGGAACCAGGAGAAGATGAGGGAGGCCAGGGCCTAAGGAGGGCAGGGTAGGAGAGGAAGTGGGGAGACATGCAGGGGACATGTGCACAGGGCTGGGAAGGAGCCTGAGTTTTCTTCTCAGTGCCATGTGAAGCCACTGAAGAGTTTTAATGAGAAAAGGGACATAAGTCAGCTCCTATTTTAGGAGGTGGCCTCTGGCTGTGTCTAATGGAGTTGACAAGAATAAAAGTAGAAGGAGAAGACCAAGGAGGAGGACGCCAGGTGAGAGCAGGTGGTGGCCATGGAGATGGAGAGGTGGAGGGAGTTAAGAGGCATCATGGAGATGGAGGAGGCAGGATTGATGCAGGACTGGGGAGCGTGTGGTTTCTGCCTGGAGCAGATATAGGTGGTGATGCCCTTTACAAGGCAAGATGAGCGGGGGTGAGTGGGGATAGCCTTCTTGGGCAGGTGAGGGAGAACAGTACCATGGTCCAATCAACCCTTGCCCTTTTGAACACATGAAGCTGGAGATGTTTGTCAGATGTCACAGGGGCAGTTAGAACCTCGAGTTGGAACACATGGGACATGTCTGGGCTCAAAAAAATTTGTGAGTCACCAACACATGGATGCTATGTAATACCAAGAGAATGGAAGAGATCACCTGAGGAGAGGGCTCAGAGAGAAAAGTGGCCCAGGATCAGCCCCAAGGAACAGAGGAGGAATCAGCAAAGAAGACAGGGAAGGAGTGGCTAGAGAAGCTGATAGAAAACAGGAGAGCACAGTGCCCGGGAAGCAAGATGACAGACCACTTCCGGAGAGTGGTAACTGTCAATTACTGCTGGGACAGAGTAAGACAATGCAGCAAAGAGATTGCTTTGGATTTGGCAACATGGAAGTCCCTGGAATCCACACAGAATAAAGCTGGTGGCATAAGAATGCCCCTCCTCCACCACCACTGAGGAAGCACCAGCTCCCTTCTCTTTCCAGAGGCTCCAGCTCTTGACATGGCAAATGTCTGGGCTCAAGTTCCTTTCTTTGAACTGCTGTTACCCCACCTGTAAAATGAAGATGGTGAATTCCACTTCCTAGAAATTATCTGGGGGGCAGATGTCTGTACTGTGTGAGTGGCCACAGTAATCATCACTATAATTCAACGCCACCACCTACGATTTGTTGGAATGTTCTCTCCCAGATACACTGTAATCGCCTGCCTGTTTGTCTCCACTGCCGATCCTAGTGTGAGCTACCATGACCTTTCACCTGGCCACTGAACTGGCACCTAACAGTGTCCACTCTTGCACTCCGTTCCCTTTAAGACATCGTTTCCTGATTAAAGCCTCCGATAGTTTCCCAATGCTCTTAGGATAAAGACAGCTTCCCCACTTGGCGGAGAAGGCCCTAGGTGATGCGCCCTGCTTGCCTCCCAACAGCTCACAGCCTCTGCTTTCCCTTCGTGGACTTCTTTCGGTTCCTCAAGTGTGCTGGGTACCATATCCTTTCCTGCTACAGGGCCTTTCCACAGGCAGTTCTGTGTGGTGACCAACCTTGACAAGAGTTTTGATGAGACTATTTTTTTTTTTTTTTTTTTTTGAGATAGAGCCTCTCTCTGTCCTGCAGACTGCAGTGCAGTGGTGCAATTTTGGCTCACTGCAACCTCCGCCTCCCGGTTCAAGCGATTCTCCTGCCCCAGCCTCCTGAGTAGTTGGGATTACAGGCACCCACCACCACGCCCAGCTAAATTTTGTGTATTTTTAGTAGAGACGGGGTTTCGCCCTGTTGGCCGGGCTGGTCTCAAACTCCCGACCTCAGGTGATCCGCCCACCTCGATCTCCCGAAGTGCTGGGATTACAGGCATGAGCCATCGTGCCCAGCCTTGACGAGACTTCTGATGCAGTGGCAGCACCCTTCCTTCCTCCTCTTCTAGTTATCTCCTAGTCAGCTCTGAGCTTAACAGCCCTTCCTCAGGGAAGGTTTCCCTGAACCCCCAGGTCAGGTCCCCTCACTTTTTCTAGGCCTCATGATACCCTGTACACTTCCTCCAGAGCCCTCCTTGCAATTCTGTATTTCTTTGAAGAATCACTTGATGTTTTCCTTCCTTACTGAGCAACCCACAGGCAGGGATTTTGGCTGTATCCTTAAGGCAGAAATAAAGGAACATATTACCTCACTAAGCTCCAGCAATGATCCTAGAAAGGAGGTAATAACATCCTTCAATAAGAGACAAGGAAACTGGATCCAACAGAGAAAGCATCAGGGCCTACAGCCGGGAATCTCAGGAGCCTGGTGCAGTGGGGGCTGCCTCTCCGAGTCCACACTCGGTCAGCTACACTACACTGGGCCCATGTGAGTGACTGTCTTTGTTACCGTCTCACCCTCTTCCCGGGGGCTGGCCACAGTCCACTTACCCAGAATTCAGGAAATAGAACACACAGAGCTGCTCCGGCAGGGTCTCTGACAGCCTCTGCGCATAGTCCACGATGTTGTCATGCAGGTACCGGCTGTTGGTGTTGAGCACCTGGTTCTGCTCATGTGCTGCTTGGACCACGAGAGGGTGGCAGTGCCCAACTGGAAGAGGGCCGCCTCCGTCACACGGCTGGCTCCACTCAGCCAGTCCCACTGGGCCTCCCCCAGCCCCAAGCTATAAACCCAGCCAGAAGAGATGTAGTTCTAGAGGGAGAGGTAGAAAGAGGGCAGTCTGAAGGCAGAGCAGGGAGAGAGAAGCTGGTTCTGGAAAGGCAGATCCAGGAGTTCCTGAGATTCTGGCAGAAGGAAAGCCGCTTCAGCAGAAGAACCCTGTCTAGAAAGCCCATGTCTTTAAGGAGGACTTTTTTTTTTTTTTTTAACAGGGCCTTACTCTGTCACCCAGGCTGGAGTGTATGGTGTGATCATGGCATTCACTGCATCCTCACACTCCTGGGCTCAAGTGGTCCTCCCACCTCAGCCTCCTGAGCAGGTGGGGCTATAGACACCAGTCACCATGCCTGGCTAATTTTTAAGTTTTTTTTTGGTAGAGACAAGGTCTCATTATGTTGCCCAGGCTGGAAGGCCTTTTGAGGCTTGTATGACAAAGGTGGGGTGGGGGGTGACTGTCAACTGGTTTCACTTCACCAGCCAAGGGGGCTGGTGGTAATCTTGATTGTCAAAGGCCAAGGATAATAACAGTGAATATGTACTGAGAGCTCACCATGTGCCAGGCACATTCAGAGCAAGCTACATAAATTAACACACTTAATTCTCCAAACACCTTAAAGTGGGTACCTAGTATCATTATGTCTTTCACAGATAAGCAAACTGAGGCACTGAGAATTAAGTAACTTGCCCGAGATCACAAGTTAGTAAGTAGGGGACAGGGATTTGAGCCCAAGCAGTCTAAGACTAGAGTCTCTGCTTTTTTTTTTTTTTTAACCTCAACTTTATTCATCTTCCATGTGCCTGCTGAGTCTCAGACTCCCTTTCTTTCCATCAGCTCTGGCAGCCTCATCAAGATGACTGAATTCCTACTTCAGCTCCCTTGCCTAGCACCTGAGATGGCCAATGGGGCTGAAGCACTGCCATGACCCCAGCACTTGGCCAGCACTGTGCTACGTTGCTGGTCACAGCTGGGCCATCTGCCACTTTGTGAGCTCATCATCAGTCCCAAGTGGAACTAGACTCACAGACCTAGATTGCTGACCCCTGCCTGGTTTAGCACAGCTCCAGATTGCAGAATTCCACAGCTATATTGCGAAGGCTGAGCCTCCTCTGCATACTGACAGTGCCTCAACTCCACCCAGGTTCTCCACACCTCTCGGCAATCTCAGGTCACCTTGGGACCAGGTTCACAGCACTGCCTTCCTCTCCTGCCCTGCCAGCCTGAGGTGTGATACTGACCGTGCGCCACATTGCTGATGCAATCGATGTATTCTGCCCCCTGTTCATCGTACATGTACTGCCCTTGGGCCCGGACAATCTTAACAGGATCCTCGGGAAAAAAGAGTCTGCAGGAAGAGCTGTGGGGACAGGCAAGGAGTGGACAGCCATGTCTGAAGACCGAAAGGGTGAAGTCTACTCATCGCAGACCCCCGCCCACCCCTTCCCAGTTTCTGGTGGCGGGGGGGAAATGAGAGCTGGAAGGGCAAGGTGCTGCTTCCCTGCCTTGTCTCTCCACTCCACAGGTGGTTGCAAAGCAGGAAGCAGATGGGGTAACAAGTCGCTGAAACTTCGGATTGTTTCTGAAAGCATTTTCAGCCTCTGTGGCCTCCTTGCTCATTTCTGCATGTGTCCGCGTCAGTCTCCCGGATCCTGAGAAAAGGTGGCTGCCCCGTCCCATGGGGACTCCATAAGGCCGCGTGTCTTCGATGGGATGGGCCAGGGCACCAACATTAGGTGCCTGGCTCTCAGCCCTAAACAGCTCCTTGCCAGCCACGTGGCCCTGCTGCCCCTCGCTGGGTGCCAGCCCTAAGCTCCAGTGGGAGGCGACCTCACCCACCGTCCCACCGAGGGCCCCCTCACAGGTCAAGTGTGCTGCCTGTGAACCGACTCCCCCGACTCTCCCTTGTCTGCCCTTTCAGCCCCCTCCCAGGTCACTCTCGAGCCAGGCCCAGGTGCTGCTGACGGGCCACCCTGGGTGAGGTCCTCTCAGGCGCCAGGGTGAAGGTCTTCTCCGGAGTAAAGGCTGCCAAGCGAGGCTGACACAGCCGAACAGCGGTGAGGGCGGGGCCGTCTCCTGAACTGGGCGGCCTGGAGACGGCGCTGTCGGGGAGGCGGCCCCGGAGACCACCCGCCGGGACTGCCCAACGGCGCCGCCCGCCTCGGGCCCTAGAAGCTCCAGCGGGGCCGGGGCAGCGGCCGGACGGGATGGGTAGCAGCGGCTTCCTAGCCGGAGGCGCGTGCGTAGTGCGTGCGTGCGTGCGTCGTGCGTGCGCGTGCCTCTCCGCGCAGCCCCGCGCCCCCCGCCGCCCGCCCCCCGCCCGGGTACCTGATGAGCCGTTGCCTCAGGGCCAGCGTGTCGGCCTTCGGGCGCTGGTCTGCGGCCATGGTGGGTGGCCGTCAGTCGGTGCCGTGACGCCACGCGGAGACGTCGCCGCGCGGGCTGGGCCTCCAAGGCCCCGCTCCGGGCCCCGCCCCTGCCTGGGTCGGGATTTGGGGCTCAGGTTCGCACTCGGCCCCGCCCCGAAGCGCCCGCGTTGCGGTGGTTCATTTCTTCGCTTGCCCACTGGGCCTGGCAGCCTTCCGGCCCGTGGTCGTGCCTTGGCAGTCCCGCGCAGGAACTCGAGCGCTGCCCCGTCTCTGGTTCCGGGACGCGCCCCGGGCCTCGCCCCGCAGGCCCCGCCCCGCAGGCCCCTGCGGCCTCCCTTCCGGGAAAGGGTCCCGGACGACCCCGCCCCTGCTCCCGGCGCCCAGGCGGGGCTCGGAGCTCCTGCAGGCCTTCTCTGGGCCAGACTCAGTCTTTGAGTCGCCTTGTGCATAAAATGGGATGAACTGTGAGGCCTAAGTGCGAGTATGTGACTGGTACCTTACCCGGGCCTGGTACACAGTAGGGGCCTCAGGGTGGGAGAAGCAGGTCCTAGGTTTTCCCAGCCCCATGAAGGGGCAGCAGGAAGAGCAGAAGGAGAGCCCAGGGTCCCTTCTGGGGCTGACCAAGGAGATCACCATGGGCTTGACCTTCAGGGCACCATAGTTCCTGCTAGAATCTAGGCAGGGTGAACCGGACGAGCTGTATCGTCGCTGAGAGAATCATGCAGCGTTTGGGCAAGAAGAGAGGTTGGGAATCCTCCTTGTGGTACATGTCGGTGACCCTGAAGCCCAGAAAGGGAAAGGGTTTTGTTGTCAGACACGCAGCAAGGCTGCAGAGGCTGGACTCCTACTGAGGTCTTCTTGACTCCCAGCCCAGGGAGTGAGAAGAAAAAGCCTCCCAAGGGGCTGGGATATGAGAGAAAAGCCCCCTCCTGGGGTGAGGCACTGGGGCTTTCTGCCTTGAAGAACCCTGGAACACGGGCCTGGGACTGCAGCAGGTGCAGGGGAGGCTCCTGATTGTCCCTTCTTTCTGTCCACATCATGATTCCCAGGCCTCTGCTTCACTCCCTCATTGCTGATTTCTTCTTCTCTTCCCAATACAGTTGTAAGATGCATAAGGCATTTATTGAACTCTTGACCTCAGATGATCTGCCTGCCTCGGCCTCCCAGAGTGCTGGGATTACAGGCCGGGTGAGCCACCGCACCCGGCCGCTTAAGGCATTTATTAAAGAACATTTGGAGTTTCTTTTTTCTTTATTGTGTAAAATATACATAACAAAATTTTACCATTTTAACCATTTTTAAGGATACAATTCAGTGGCAAAAGTACATTCACATCGTCGTGCAGCCATCACCACCATCCATGCAACAGGACTTTTTCATCTTCCCTAAAAGAATGGAATTTCTTATTTTTAACTGTAAAGCTGAATTGAATATTTTACATGATTTTTGGAAAAAATTCTTCCCAAATTAACTGCGAGGTTAACTGCTTGTGGCCTGTATTTTTTTTTTTTTTTAAAGAAAGGGTCTTATTCTGTTGTTCAGGCTGGAGTGCAGCATTGCAGTCTCTACCTCCCTGGGATCATGTGATCCTCCCATCTCAGCCTCTCAAGTACCTGCTACTACAGGTGCACGCCACCATACCCAGCCTGTACTTCGTTTCTGAGGATCAAGACCTCACAGACCGTGTGTGTGTGTGTGTATTTGTGTGTGTGTGAGTCCTATTTGGGCCCCGCCTTTCAGCCCTGTCTTGCAGCCCAAACTCCAGCCACAGCTGTGGCCCCGTGCAGCTCAGAGGAATCAGGTTGGCTCAGGGGCTTTTCCTGCTTTAAGGCAGAGGGTGAGAAGGCTGTAGCTGGGCCCGGCTAACATCTCACCTGCTCCTGGGTCAAGAGGTGATATAGTTGGAGGTCAGACCAGGTTGAGCCATTTCCTGGGCCAGGAGTATCTTATAGCATGGCACAGAACACCAGGAGGCCTCACCTTCTTCCTGCTCAGAAAAGCCCACTCCTTGTCTCTGGCCCTGTGCCAGGCACTCATCTGTCCTTTATTTCATGCCTGGCCCTCTAGGCAATGTTGGAGTCCAAGAGGGTAGGGGATGGAAGTGGCTGAGTCAGGATTTGAACCCAGGGCATGGTGTTTCTCAACAGGGTTGGCACCGGGATTCTTGTTGAGATGATTTGTCACTGGGTAGGACTGTCCTATGCATTTTAGGTGTTTGCTATCCCTGGCCCTGTCCCCTGAATGCCCAGGTGTCCTGCAATCATTGTGCTAACCAGAAGCATCCCATGTATTCCTAGTGGTCTCCTAGGGACCAGGAGGAAAGAGACCTGGTAAGTCCCCTTCACATTCATCTATAAAAAGGGATCGTCATCCTTGTGGTTAGTTTAGCTGTCATGGGACACAGCAGGACTCAGTAAATGTACTTCTCTCTCTTCCAGAAAGGGGTACTTTGAGGCTGTACTGCCTTTCTTGGCAGGAGGCCTGAGGCCCCCCAGTCCTTGAGTCTCAGCTGTGAAGCAGGGTGCTCCCCAGTGTCTCGGCTGGGACCTTGAACAAATCATTGAACCCTCTACCGCCTCTGTGCTCTCCCCGGGCACTTTGAGGACTCAGCCGACTCTACATTTTTAAGCTTGCAGTTGAAACGTTTGCAGCCATCGGGATACAAGGTATGAGACCGCAAGGGGGCAGCAGTGGGCCAAGAATGCCCCATCCTGCCTAAAGGAGCAGGAGAGACCCCCTCAGAAGACTGGGGAAGTGGGGGGAACACATGGCTTCTACCCCACGAGGATCTACCTGCCAATCACACAGCATCATGGAGCTGCCTATCAGATTCCATGCTCTGCCAGACAAGTTTCAGAAGGACGTATTAGAGGACAAACCCAAGAGCCTAGGTGCAGTCCCAAGCCTGCCACTATGTCCTGGCTGTGCATCCCTGGCCAGGTGACTACCCTCTCTGAGCCTCAGTGTTCCCCTATGTAAAATGGGCATATCGACACCTATCACACAAGCCCTGGGCTTCGCAGGGCTGGTGAGGGGATCAAGTGAGGTTCCTGGATGGAGGAAGGAGGGAACTGTGAAGTGTAGCATGCAGATGGTGAGGTTATGCTGGAACTCCAGAGGCGGCATGGACACCCAGTGACCTCCATCAGTCATCACAGCCCCACTGTGTTTCTCTTCCTTTTCCCACTACTGGCTTCCCTGTTGACCCAGACAACTGGCTGAGCGATGTGACCTTCCACTTATTGCCAGTTCCTTAGGGAGACAGAGGAGGGGACTGGATATATCTCTCCCTCCTTAGCCAGTGTGTGGCCGAGCCTCTTCTGCTTAGCAAGGCCATGTCACAGAAGTCTGAGGGTGACCACCCATACTGTGGCCTGCCCTAGGCTTCAGTCCTTGGAGACTCAGACACCATCAGTGCAATGCACCACCACCATCAGAGACACCATCACTGCAGGCCCTTTTTTTTTTTTTTTTTTTTTTTGAGACGGAGTTTCGCTCTTGTTGCCCAGGCTGGAGGGCAATGGTGCGACATCAGCTCACCACAACCTCTACCTCCTGGTTTCAAGCGATTCTTCTGCCTCAGCCTCCCGAGTAGCTGGGATTACAGGCATGCACCACCACCCACCTAATTTACAGGCATTACAGGATTACAGGATTACAGGCATGCACCACCCAGCTAATTTTGTATTTTTAGTAGAGACGGGGTTTCTCCGTGTTGGTCAGGCTAGTCTCGAACTCTCAACCTCAGGTAATCTGCCCGCCTCAGCCACCCCAAGTGCTGGGATTATAGGCGTGAGCCACCGCGCCCGGCCCATGGCCCTTCTTGCCTAGACCACCCTGGATGTGCTTGGTTTTGTCATCTGTAAGACGGTCCCTCTCTTAGTTGTTATAGGGACCAGCTGTGATGACAGAAGTGGGAACACTTTGCAGGACTGTGGCTGTTGCTCAGCAGCCTTGGAGTCAGGAGGAGAGATGAAAATCAGAATTGAGGGTGCTTCTGGGTGAGGGACACACCCTATACTCTTCGCATACTCTGCACTGGATCCTCACGGAACCACAATCTGAGTGGTAAGTAGTGCCCTCTCGTTTCACAGCTGAGGTGGCAGTTTGCATTTTTTCAGAGGGCTGCAACAAGATCTACGATTCCGCATTTTCTCTTTGAAATATGATGTTGACACTTTCCCGTGGAGAGGTGGGGTCTAACTCTCCTCCCTCCACTCTTTCAGAAAGTGACACCACATGACTTCTGAGACTTGGCCCTAAAAGGTGACACAGCTTCCAACTGGCTGACCTGGGACAGTCACTTTTGGAATCCAGCCACCATGTGGGAGGCAGCCTGGGTCACGTGGAGAGGCCACAAATAAGTATTTGCCATCTGAGGTCCCTGCTATAGCCATAAGCAACCATGTGAGAGTCGGAGTGAGAAGCACCCACACTGAGCCCATTAACCACAGACTGCACAAGAGAAATCAAAATGATTTTCTTTCTTTTTTTTTAAAGAGAGGAATTTCTCTATGTTGCTCAGGCTGATCTTTAACTTCTGGGCTCAGGCAGTCCTCCCGCTTCAGCCTGCCCAGCAGCTAGGACCACAGGCACACATCAACCCACCCTACTAATGTTTTTTAATTCTTTACTTTTGGTAGAGATGGAGTTTCACCATGCTGCCAGCCTGGTCTCGAACTCCTGGGCTCAAGTGATCCTCCCACCTTGCCCTCCCAAAGTATTGGGATTAAAAGAATGAGCCACTGTGTCTGGCCAAAATCGCCATTGTTTTAAGGCAACAAGTTTTGGAGAGATTTGTTATGCAGCAGTCTGCTAACCGCAATAGAGGAGCACACAGGGGCTCAATTTGACAGGTAGTGACTTGCCAGAGGACTCAGCTGATGTGTGGCAGGACCAGGCAGTGAATCTGTGTCTTCCGAACTCCAAATCCCATCTTTGCCCTGACCCTGAACTTCCTCCTTTGGTTTCTGGGATGGCTCTTACTCAGGGAGGGTCCCCTTTTCCCTCCCCACCCAGCAGTGGCCAGGATGAAACCACAGCCAGAGGTGCCCCAGGGGCAGTCCACAAGGACAGGCACACCCAGACACGCACTTGTGGTTTATTACACACAGTGATCTCCATCTACACGGAAATGGAAGGCAAGCAGCCAGGATGGAGCTGGTTGCTGGGAACACTTGCTGGAGGTGGAAAAGCCTCTCGTCAGAGCGTGGGTGGGTCTGGTGGCAGGCCCCCTGCTCAGGCCAGCTGGGAACCAGCCCTGAGCTTTGCTTTGCCTGCACAGCCCACCTAGAGAGCCATTTTTGGCCAGAGTTCTGGGTGGGAGACTTGGGGCCAGTGAGACCCAGACTCTGAGTGGGAGGCCTGCCTCCCTGGTCCAGGCCATGTCCTATCTTGTCCCTCTCTGGGTGATAATGGAAACAGAGACAGGAAGTAGCAGTCAGTCCAGGCTGGGCCCCTCCATCCTCGACACTCTGCTCCCTGGAGCTGGGTCCACATCACAGCGATCACAGAGCTCAGCCACTACTCCTGGCCAGAGGACATGTGCTCTCATGGCAGGCTGGCCTCCTGAGGCCTCCTGAATGTGGTAGAGCTAGACCCTCGTGGGGGATTTCCACTCACTGCTCCCCGGGCCCAGCCGCAAGTGCTGGGCGAGTCTTGTCCGGGGGCCAAGTCTTGTCCAACTGCAGAGGCAGCTGGTTGTGGTTGAGTTTGGAGGCTGATGAGGCCAGGAGCAACAGCAGCCGCTGTTCCACCCCTGGGTCTTCTTGGATAGGGTGTGTCCCAGGGACTCCAGAGTTTTGCGGGGGCAGGTTCTTACAGGGCAGTACCACAGCTGAGAGTCTCTCTGCTGATCAGGTGACTGAAGGCCCAACGTAGCATCTTTCTAGCCTTGCCCGAGCCAGGTGCTTCTACCTTCATCTCCTTCCTGGGAAAGCCCAGGCCCAAGGGTGCCCCTCAGGTACACATCTCCCTGGTCTGGCCTGTCCACTTTCCGGCAGCTTCACATGCCGGTGGCTTTGGGGCTGGGTGGGCATACTCTTGAATGTTAAAAGGCCACAGGTAGCGCATTCCATGAAAAAAGATCAATATATTACTGTTTTGTTTTTACAAAAATTAAAAATGTCCACACGGATCTGTACAGGTGTGAGCTGGGCCTGTGGGTCACTGGAAAAGGAGGAAGAGACTGAAGGTGACGAGGAGCCCGAGAAGCTCCGCCCCCATCCAGGCCACCTTGCCTGGCCTCCCCGGTCCTGCCCATTTCCTCCTATCTTCCCTCCCCCCACTCCCTCTCAGTGGGCCAGTTGGGACAATATCCCAGGGGGCACTGATGGCTTTGCCCTGCCTGGTCCAGGTGTCAGTTGAGTCCATGTGACCCACAGGATGGGTTATACACCATCACCCAGGACCACAGCCCCACGCCTCACATGCAAGATGGGAGAGTCAAAACCAGGGTCATGATGGGAAACCTGGCTATTCAGTCACTGTGCGAGAAGCCGCAGACACCCAGAGGTTTGAGTGACAGCACCCAGGCTCTGGGGCCCTCCCATTCCCCCACCCTCCCCTGCCTCTCCCAAGCCTGCCCTGGAGACTTCCCTGCACGGTACCTTATGCCAGCAGCCAGGCACAGGCAGCCCGTCGGGGCCCTGGAAAGGAAGAAGGTTTCAGTGATGGGGATGGGGCCTGGGGAGCTCCTCTACACCCCACATGCCCTCCCCTGGTCTGTAGGGAGGTGCAGGCCAGGGAGCGGCCATGTGAGACTGCTGGGCCCCACTGAGGCAGGGGCACAATGCCTCCTCTGTCCACCCAGGTAGTGGGGTCATGGGGTCATGGGGAACGACGGCCTCTCACTGAGCTTGTCCTGAGTGTGTTCCCTCTGTGCTTTGTGGGGACTGCTGTGCAGTGGGCAGGAACAGGAGGGCACTAGGAAGGGATGAGCATTGTGCCAGACATGTACAGGCTGGCCTGGGTCCTGCCGAGAGCCGTGTGGCTTCCTGTCTGATGTGACAGTGACTCTGGCCTGGGTCCTGCCGAGAGCCGTGTGGCTTCCTGCCTGATGTGACACTGACTCTGGCCTGGGTCCTGCCGAGAGCCGTGTGGCTTCCTGCCTGATGTGACACTGACTCTGGCCTGGGTCCTGCCGAGAGCCGTGTGGCTTCCTGCCTGATGTGACACTGACTCTGGCCTGGGTCCTGCCGAGAGCCGTGTGGCTTCCTGCCTGATGTGACAGTGACTCTGGCCTGGGTCCTGCCGAGAGCCGTGTGGCTTCCTGCCTGATGTGACAGTGACTCTGGCCTGGGTCCTGCCGAGAGCCGTGTGGCTTCCTGTCTGATGTGACAGTGACTCTGGCCTGGGTCCTGCTGAGAGCCGTGTGGCTTCCTGCCTGATGTGACGGTCACTCTGGCTCCTCACCCTGGGGCCTGCGAGCTTTCAGGCCTTGGGCAGGAATGGCTCCTGGAGGGTTTTAAGGATGGCCCAGGAATTGGCATCCTGCTCCAGCCTGTGCTGGCTGGAGCAGGGCAGGCTCAGGTTGCTGGGGGTTGGGGCTGGGCCTGGGGTAGGGCTATCTAGCGGCACCTGTGGTGCCCACCCAGGAGCCAGACATAAGCAGGGGCCGGGTTTCCTCAGGCAGCCTGGAGGGTGGGGAAACTGGAGAGGAACGAAGACTGACTCATCAGGGACACCAAGGCGCAAAACATGTCATTCTGTTCCAAAGCACAGGAATGAGCCTCAGACACTGGGCATCCCCTGGAATATTCCCATGTGTACACCAGGGACCAGGCTAGGCACCAAAGGGAAGGTGGGGAGGGGGGCAGAATGGAAAGGAAGCAGAAGCGAGGAAGGCCGGGGCAGAGCCAAGGGCCCTGGCTGCCCCGAAGGCCCACACAGCACACGGCACACGGCACACAGCAGGCCAGGCCGCCTACCGCAGGGCATGGCCCATTGCCCCTCGCAGGGCCCCGCCAGCCTGGTGCCCCTCTCCGGCCTCCGCACGTGGGATTCTCCTGTTTCAAAGGAGACAAGGGCTTACTGATTTGGAGGGGAGTCCTGGGCCAGGCCCCGGAGCTGCGGGGCTGGGCCACCCTGCCCCTGCTGTCCCCGCCCTTTCTGTGCGCTGACCACTTCGCTCTTCAAGTCCTTTTCTCATTGACTTCTCAAAACTGTCCGAGGGGAGCGGTATCCCCCACTGCAGGGATAAGGACACTGAGGAACAGAGGCCAGAGGTCTGGGAGGGGGTCTCTAACTCTGGCACCGCTGGAGGTTGAGGCCGGCCTGCACACATCCCCGTGGCTGGAGTGGCCACGTCTGAATATCTGTCCAGTTTTAGTACGAAAACCCAGCTGTTCTGTTTTTCCTGTCTTTTCTGAGCTCCACCGGAAGAGTGTGACATGTAAACCCTCCCTACTTTCTAGAAAAAGGAACTAGGCAGGGCACAGTGGCTCACACCTGTCGTCCCAGCACTCTGGGAGGCTAAGGTGGGACAATCGCTTGAGCCCAGACCAGCCTGGACGACATTGCAAGACCCCAGCTCTACAAAAATTAAAAATTAGCTGGGCATGGTGGTGCATGCCTGTAGTTCTTGGCTACTTGGGAAGCTGAGGCAGGAGGATCACTTGAGCCTGGGAGATGGAGGCTGCAGTGAACCATGATCGCTCCAGCCTGGGCGACAGAGTGAGACTCTGTCTCCGAAAAGAAATAAATGGAGCTGACTTTTGAACTGTGGTTGTTTCAGGCACCAGTGCCTGAAACCACTGGGGCTGGTGGGCTGCCAAAGGCCACTGAGAGAGCACAGAAAGAGGTACAGGAAGGGTGTGGGGGTAGGCAGAGGGGATGTGGGGAAGAGGGAGGTGCTGCCCCAGCCCAGAGAGACTCTTCTGGGAAGGAGGAAGGAAGGGGAGGCACAGCCAGCCAGAGAGGTCAGGGTGGTCCCACCGTCTGTGCTTGGGGAAGCTGAGTTTCAGCTCAGCTTGGCCTCAGGCCCAGTGGGAGTCAGACCCCGACTTCCACCCCAGGCAGCCAGACCACAGCGATGGGGCTGGGCACTCACTGCCTCCGCCCCCAGCGGCAGCGTGTCTGTGCTAACTTTGGTTCCCTCCGCAGGGCCCAGCCCCCTCCCAGGGCACCGCTGATGGTGCTGATGACTCCAGGTAAAGCCCCTCCACTCCTGGTCTAGGCCCTGTCCACTTCCAGCCCAAGATGGCCCACAGTGGGTTCCTACTCAAGCCAGGCCTGTCCTGGGGGTGAAGAATGAGGGGCTGGGCCTCCAGCTCTACAGAGGGGCTGGGTTCCCTGAGTCATGCCCATGGTTGGGGGTGGTTAGGACCAGAGCAAGGGGAACCGCGATGATGGCAGTAGCAGCAGCAGTGGCCCTGACAGTGAGGAAGGCCAGTGCGTGACCAGTGGGGCCTCTGGGACTTGCAGCTGAGTTCCGAGGACAGGGAAGATGTTGGGCTGACCCTGGCTGGAGGCCAAAAAGACCTGGGGCAGGGCCCTCCTCCGACACCTACCACGGGACACGGCTGGTCCAGGCCTGGTGGTCCCGGCTCGCCCTTCTGGCCCTTCACTCCTTTCCGGCCGGGGACCCCTCGTTCTCCCTGTGCAGGAGGGGAGATGGTGGTATTGGTCATGGCTGCCAGGCTTAGGAACCTCCAACATCTCTCCGAGAGAAGCGCGTGGGGCCAGCCTCCCCCTGCCTCCGCCCACCTGCCCGGCCTGGGTTCTCTCTACCTGCTTCACCTGAGCCTCCACTCCCACCTGCCTCCTTCCCCCTCTCCTCCTGCCCCAGCTCCCGTCCAGCTGCCCTCACCTTCTCTCCACGCTCGCTCCGATCACCTTTCTCTCCTCGGGGTCCAGGGAAACCCTGACAAAAGGATTAGATGCTAAACCCGAAAATGAGGCTGGAGGTTTGCCCCTCTGTTACCGGCTCATCTCTGTTCCTCTCCCATCCACACGCCCACTTTCCCCCCTGCATATTCGTGGCACACGCTGGCCTAGCCCTAGCTGTAGGTGATACACTGCTGGGTACAAGGCTGATGTAGGAAGAGCATGCATTTACGATGCCAGCTGGGCTTGCTCCAAAGTAGTCGCTGGACACCAACACTCAGGCAGAGCTGCTGGCAAGGGGCTGTCTCTCACATCACAGACGCGGCTGGCACTGGTCTAGGCTTGGCTGGGGACAGAGACCCCGGAAACCATGGAAGTTATGTCACTGTCTGATGGGATGAGAAATGGTGATCTCTGTTCTGTGCCCTTGGCTCAACTTCCTGCACACCCATCTGTCCATTCATCTATCTGTCCGTCCACCCAACCAAGGTGGCTTAACATCCACTAGGAACCGGGCTGTTGGCTGGACACTGGGGACACAGAATTGGATTCATTGTGGCCGGGCATGGTGGCTCATGCCTGTAATCCCAGCACTTTGGGAGGTCGAGGTGGGCAGATCACCTGAGGTCAGGAGTTTGAGACCCACCCTGGCCAACATGGCGAAACCCTAAAAAACACAAAAATTAGCCGAGTATGGTGATGCGCGCCTGTAATCCCAGCTACTTGGGAGACTGAGGCAGGAGAATTGCCTGAACCTGAGAGGTGGAGGTTGCAGTGAGCCGAGATCGCACCACTGCACTCTGGCCTGGGCGACAGAGCGGGACTCTGTCTCAAAAAACAAACAAAGAGGCCAGGCATGGTGGCTCCCGCCTGTAATCCTAGCACTTTGGGAAGCCAAGGCAGGCAGATTGCTTGAGCTCAGGAGTTCAAGACCAGCCTGGGCAACACAGTGAAACCCCATCTCTCCTAAAATACAAAAAATTAGCCGTCCTAGCAGCGTGCACCTGTAGTCCCAGCTACTTGGGAGGTTGAGGCAGGAGAATCGCTTGAACCCGGGAGACAGAAGTTGCAGTGAGCCGAGATCATGCCACTGCACTCCAGCCTGGGTGGACAGAGTGAGACTCCATCTCCAAAAAAAAAAAAAAAAAGAAACAATTTTAAAAAGAGAATTGGATTCGACATGGTCCCTTGTTCACGTGTAACGGGGCAGGCAAGAGAGTGCTGATGACAGTCAATGCTCAGTGACAGAGGTGTGAAATAGGGGTGGTGGGATTCTGGAGGGAAGGGCTGTTCTATCACAGGTGGGGGTCAAGGGGAGTTTCTCAGCACGGTCCTCATTATAGTTGGGCCTTCTGGGGTTGAGGAGGAGCCTGGCATTTGCCAGGTAGAGCAGGTGGGCATGGCTTTGAGATGCCACCCTGAGAACCAGGCCTCCTGGAAGGCAGCTGTGGCCACATTCATGGTGGCATGGAGTCTCCTTAGCTCCACCCTCAACTGGGCCCAGAGCCTGCAGCTGGTTCAGCATTGTCCTCTCCCATCCCTTCCCATTGATGGAACCCAGCACCCCCGTCAGAAACCCAAGCTACAGCTCTTCCTTTCCCTCGTCCACAGTTGCTCTCCCAGGTAATGTTCTTTTTTTTGAGACGGAGTCTCACTCTGTTGCCCAGGCTGGAGCACAGTGGCACGATCTCAGCTCATTGCAAGCTCCGCCTCCTGGGCTCATGCCATCCTCCCGCCTCAGTCTCCTGAGTAGCTGGGACTACAGGCACCCGCCACCATGCCTGGCTAATTTTTTTTTTTTTTTTGTATATTTAGTAGAGACAGGGTTTCACCGTGTTAGCCAGGATGGTCTCTATCTCTTGACCTCGTGATCCACCCGCCTCGGCTTCCCAAAGTGCTGGGATTACAGGTGTGAGCCACCGTGCCTGGCCGGTAATGTTCTCTTTTTAAAGTCTAGGGTGGGCACCAGAGTCCTTGCAGCCCTGCATCTGGGCCTATGTCCCTCAAAATAGCTACCTGATTTTCCTGAGAACAACCTCCTTCTCATAACCCATTGATTCCACCCCAGTCCATGGTCTCACTAGTCAGGGCACTGCATTCCTATGGCTAAGTGACAGTTCAGCGTTGACCTAACTGGGACCAGGGAGAGCCCATGAAACTTCCTGTAGAACACTGGAGTTCTACTCTGGAGTCAAATTTTCTTTCTTCTTAGTTTGGGCCTGGCAGGATGCTGGTCTCGAGCTGCTGGCTTTACCTCACCACCACGTGGAACTTGATTTCCACAGGGAAAGCAGACAAGACAGGGTGAAAGGCTGAGTTGTGTTGACACAGTTGAGCCCTGGATCCATGTGTTGAACCTCCAGATTTTTCAGTTATGAGTAATTTTAAGCCAGTTTAAACTATGTTTTCTATGTATGCTACCAGAAGAGACTTGACATAATCAGCCTGGGCTAATACTTCCCTTCCTCTTCTTCTCAAATTACTGCTCTAGCTAAAGCCCTATTATCTGTCACCAGGATATTGCAACAGGCTCCTCACTGCTCTCTTCACTTCCTTGCTACAATGCATCATCCATCCATCCATCCATCCCTCCACTGCCATCATCATCCATCCATCCACTCATCATCTATCATCCATCCATCCATCCATCCCTCCACTGCCATCATCATCCATCCATCCACTCATCATCTATCATCCATCCATCCATCCACTCATCATCTATCATCCATCCATCCGTCCATCCATCCCTCCACTGCCATCATCATCCATCCATCCACTCATCATCTATCATCCATCCATCCGTCCATCCCTCCATCCCTCCACTGCCATCATCATCCATCCATTCACTCATCATCTATCATCCATCCATCCATCCATCCACCCACCCATCCACTCATCATCTATCATCCATCATCCATCCATCCATCCCTCCACTGCCATCATCATCCATCCATCCATCCATCCATCCATCCATCCATCCATCCATCATTCATCTATTATCCATCCATCCATCCATCCATCCATAGTGGATAGATAGATGAATGGATGGATGAGTCCATTCAATCCTCCATCCATTCATCCATCATTCTTCCATTATCCATCCACCCACCCATCCATCCATCATCCATTCATCATCCACCCACCCATCATCCACCCACCCATCATCCACTCATCCATCACCCATCCATCCATTCACCCATCCATCCATTCACCCATCCATCCATTCATTCATCCATCCATTCACCCATCCATCCACCCATCCATCCATTTATCCATCCATCCATCAATCCTGCATTATGCATTCATCCATCCATCGATTCATCCTCCATTGTCCATCCATCCTCCATCTACCAATGTATCCATCCATTTATCCATCCATCAACAATCCATTCATCTATCCACAAAGGACCTACTCTGGGTCGTGCACTGGACTTGGCAATGGGGACACAGGGGGAACCAGTCAGTTGCAGTCCCAGCCCTGGGGAAAGGGGTCACACTTGAGTAGCCAGATCAGGTTACTGCATGAGGGCAGAAGATACACACAAGAGGCACCCAATTACTCAAAGTGATGATAAGACACTTACATCTAGTCCTGGCTCCCCGGGTCTGCCCTGAGGAGAGACACAGAGTGGGTGAGAGGGGTTGGGGAGGGGTGCTGGGAGCACAGCTGCTGGGAAGTCCAGCCCTGTGGGTTGGCCACAGACATGGGGGCAAGGAGACCCACCAACCACGCAGGCATAGATGGAGGCCAGGACAGACCTGGCATCCACAGAGCCTGAACTCTGGCCCTGCGAAGTGCAGGGACCCAGTGAGGTACAGGGTTGGGGTCCCCGGGCTGAGCGCCACCATGACCAGGTGGCCACGGTTGGAGAGGGAGTTCCGAATGAGGCGGTTACCTTCTCTCCTTTGGTTCCTGGCAGCCCAATAAGGCCCGGTGGGCCAACTGGCCCCTGGATAGAAAAGGAATGAGTCAAGAGGCATGCTAGTGACAGGAATTAACACCTTTGGGACAAACAACGCTTGTGAGACTCACAGGCAGGCCGCTGGGGCCTCTCTCACCCGACGCACCCTTCTCTCCCTTTGCTCCATCCAAGCCCTGGAGGCAAAGGAGGGAAATCAGTCAAGGGGAAGGGGTTAGACAGACAGTAGGACAGGCAAGCTTGGAGACTGCAAGGGAGCTGGGATGTGGACAGAGGAACAGATCGAGGCTCCCCCAGGCCTGGCCCCAGCTTACTCCCTGGTGAGGGTGATCAGGAGGAGCTCTGGCCATGCGCATTGCGCCTTTTCCAGAACAGGCTCCCTCAGCCCCATGGAAGGTGATTACGGTCACACCCATTCCAAAGATGAGGAAAGCAGGTGCAGACGGGGGGCGGGGGGGGGGGGACAGGCCCAGCCACACAGCGGGAGGCAGCAGAGCTGGGTCCCCATCAGGCTTCTACGGCAAGCCTTGGACCCTGTCCTGATAGCAGCTGCCTCTTTGAAACATGAACTGTGGTGGCCTTAAGAGAAAGCAGAACCAGAAGCAGAGCACCTGGTGGGGCTGCAGGCTCGGGCCTGGGCTTCCACGATTCTCAGTCCCACATCTGGCCTCTGAGCTGGGGAAGCAGAGATTTGCTCACGCCAGGAGGGTGGTGTGACAAGGAGTGAGGCCAGGTGGCCTCCCCTTCTGTGTCTGCCTCCCTGGGGCAGGGCATGCAGGCAGGCCACACTCGAGGACTTAACGTAAGAGCAGGGAACACGCCATCATGTAATATACACCAAGCCCAAGACTTTGTGCTTAGACTGTGGCAGCTGAGAGACAGATGTGTGTGGGGCGGGCTGGGATGGGGAGAGGTGGGGACAGTGCAAGGAACTGACAGGCACAGACAAAGGAGAAGGGGACAAGCAGTGGAAACGGTGGTGGACCTGAGGAGGAGAGAGGGACAGACTGGGGTCCCGGGCAGAGGGAGAAAGTGGGAGAGGAGAGCCTCAAGGGTGGAGAGGGGGGCATTGGCCTCAACGACATCGGGGAGGTTATGCCCTGGGGACTTGGGACGTTCAGGCGCTGGGAAGACTCAGGGATGGGCCAGGGCGGAGCGTCAGGCCCTTTGCTTTGCCCATTGGCAAGGCTCTTGGAAACTGCCCAGACGGTGAGTCTGAGGCCAGTAGAGGGGTCTGTGCCCACTCACCTTGGGACCCTGGATTCCCTGGAGGCCCTGCAGGAGGAGGAAGCAGATAAGAAGGCTGGCTCCGGACCCTCTTGCAGTGGCCACTCACTGGCCCCTGGGGCCCTGTCCTGGGCTCTGCCCTCTGCCCATGTGCCCCTCCCTGAACGAAGAAGCCCGCTCTCTCCTGGGTCATGGCTCTGGGACCTAGCCCCCACCCCGCCTCTTGGTTTCCTGGCTGCTTCAAACCAAACCAAAGCAAACCGTCCTTACCATCGGGCCTGGGGGGCCAGGGGGGCCAGGGGGCCCTGGCTCCACTATGAGCTGAGCCTAGGGAGGGTGAGAGACAGGTTAGTCACCCACCGCCTGTCACCCTCACCTACCCGCACCCGAGCTCATCGCACACTGCTGGATCGAGAGTCTCCTTCCTGCCCCCCAGAGGGCAGAGTCTGGTGAGCAGGTGGCAGCTGGTCTGCGGAGCTTATAGTGAGCCGAGGTTGTGCCACTGCACTCCAGCCTGGGAGACATGGTGAGACTCTGTTCTCAGAGGGGTCTCGCTCCCCTTACTCTCCCTCCCCTACTGCCCTGGGTTTGCTCAGGCCAGGTGGCCTTTTTGTCCCAAGGCTCAGGGTCCCCACCCAGCCTGGACTGGGTGTTGGGGGAAGCCCTGACCCCCCCATACCCCCTTACCAGGCTCTCCTGTAGGCTGTCAGACGCCGACTCCCCCTTCTCCCCCTTGAGGCCGTCAGCGCCCTGCAGGACGGCAATGGCCTGTGAGTCCTTTGTGTCCAGCACCTGTATCACCACCCACGGTGCTTAGTGACCTCCCTTCCTTCCCCCATGTGGCTCCTGAGAGCAGTCATCAGTTAGCTGTTGCAACTGAAAAGTTTTCCCTACATCCATGTGCCACGCCCCGGGTGGTGGGCAGTGTGGGCTTTAGAAAGCACACGAGCAGCCGCACACATTGTTTTCCTGGGGTGCAGGGAGCAACCGGGGGCTGTGAAGCAAAGACCCCGGGGTCAAACCCCAGTGCCCCCTCTAGCCCAGTGACCATCAGGGATGGACACTGGAAGTGTCCCAGTGGTGGCGTAACAGCTGGTGGCTCTTCCAGTCGGGCCACAAAAGCAACGAAAATCATGAGGACAACAGTGGGCATTTGCTGTGTGCCAGCCACCACTGTCAGCCCAGCCACGCATGCCCTTGAGGGAGGGGAATGATCACCCCCACTTTGGAGGTGAGGAAACCGAGGCCCCAGGAGGTTAGGTTGCTCGCCCAGGGTTCCAGAGTCAGCCGGGACGGAGCTGGATGCAAACTTGGGCAGTTTAGGTCAGAGCACGTGGCATAACCACCTGGCCAACGCGCTCCCATGGCCACAGCTCCTGATTTTAGCTGCCATCTGAGGCAGGTGGAAGGCTTCTTCCAGACGAGGAAGTGGAGGCCGGGAGAGAGGAGGACAGCGCTGGCCCAGAGCCTAGAGTGTCCCCGGCCGGCTGGGCACTGAGACCGCAGGGGCTGTCAGGGTCACGCCCTGGCCTCCCCACAGCACGGGGGGCACACAGTCACCTCAGGGCTTCCACACAGGAGGCGTAATGTGTGGCCCAACCCAGCCACATACCGGGAGGCCGGACAAGCCCATCTCGCCTGCTTCCCCTTTGAGTCCTGCTGGCCCAGGCTCTCCTGGGTCTCCTTTCTGTCCTTTGGGGCCCTGAAAGCCATAAGCACAAGGGATGAGTGGGGCTCAGGAGGTCCCCTCCCTTCTCCCCCCAGCAGGTCCCCAGAGCTTAGTTCATGCTAGGGCCCCACTTTCTCTTTGTGGGTCCCCACCTCCAGCCACAGTGGCTGGGAGCCTCACCCGGATGCAGTGGGTGTGGGGCTAGGGCACGCCACTCCTGGCTCATTGCATCCGGGTGTGGGCACCGCAGGGCAGGGGCCGGGGCAGATGGGTGGATCATGTGAGCCTGGAGCTGCCCCTCTGGGGGCACTCATGGGGCCAGCTCTGTGCTCACATCTCAGAAGCTAGTGGTGGGACTCCCCACCCCCACAAACTCTTCCAGCCACCGAATCCCTCCATTCAACCAATTACATTATGTCCAGGATGAGACACACACTGCGGACCCAGTGGGAAAGACTCACCCTCGAATAGCAAGTGACCCCACGAATATGCTTACGTCTGTATAGGATAACACACACACACACACACACACACACACACACACTCTCTCTCTCTCTCTCTCTCTCTCTCTCTCTCTCGAATTGGGGCAATACCTACAATGCTCTTAGCCTTTGTGGCTTTTCACCACATGCCAGGCACTGCACTGAGTGTTCTCCATACACAGAGTTACTCAGCCCTGCCTGAGAGCAGGCAACTTGCCCAGGGCCGGAGGGCAGACCAGGGTTTGCACACAGGCAGCCTGGTGCCAAAATCCATGATTTTTGATTTTCTCACACATGGTGTTTCTCTAACTCTGTGCACACATGCACACGCACACACACACACACACACACACAGAGCCCAATACCAGGCACTGGCATCACCAAGGAAATGAAAGGCCCAGAGACCTTCTCTCCATCGATTCCTGGGGCACCGGGCAATCCAAGCTCGCCCTGGAAGGGAAGAGATGGCAAGAGGGGTTATGCCTTCCTTTCCTAAAGAGGTGTCAGCAGCCAGAGGGCCAGGACACACTGTGCACCCGGCCCAGGGTGGGTCTTTGCAGTTGGACCTCTAGCTGTGCCAGGACCCACCGCCTCCTCTGTTTCCTCAGCCCATCACGAGCAGATGTAGCCCATGGCTATCACCTGTAAGTTGTTATGTCACAGATTCGGGCGCTGAGGCTTGGAGGGTTAAGTGACTTGCTTCAGGTCACAGAGCCCAGGAACAACGATGCCGGGACCAGATCTGCCTGACTTCAAAGTTGTTGGCTCTTTCTCTTGAGATAAATGGGCAGGATGCAAACGAATGGTGCAGGCCACAGGGTGTGCAAGCTGTCCACCTGCCAGACTGGTGTGCTGTCACAGGGGCTGGGTTTTCAGTTCTTTATTTTTAGCTGGTGGATATTTATAAAACACTACCCCCAACAGCAGCTAAATATACATTTAATTTGTGTGCATATAAAACATTCAACAAGAAAGAACACTTTGACTCTAAAACAAGTTTTAATACATTAAAAAGATCAATATTGTATTAAAAAGAATATGTTTTGGCTGGGCATGGTGGTTCACACCTGTAATCCCAGCACTCTGGGAGGCTGAGGTGGGTGGATCACCTGAGGTCAGGAGTTTGAGACAGCCTGGCTAACATGGTGAAACCCCCCTCTACTAAAAATATAAAAATTAGCTGGGCTTGGTGGCACAGGCCTGTAATACCAGCTACTTGGGAGGCAGAGGCAGGAGAATTGCTTGAACCCGGGAGACAGGTTGCAGTGAGCTGAGATGGTGCCACTGCACTCCAGCCTGGGCAAAAGAGCAAGACTCCGTCTCAAAAAAAAAAAAAAAAAAAAAGAGTATGTTCTCTAATCGCAAGATAATTTTTTTTTTTTTTTGAGACAGAGTCTTGCTATGTCTCCCAGGCTAGAGTGCAGTGGCACAACCTCGACTCACTACAAGCTCCGCCTGCTGGTTTCAAACAATTCTTCTGCCTCAGCCTCCCAAGTAGCTGGGATTACAAGTGCGCACAACCACACCCAGTTGATTTTTGTATTTTTAGTAGAGACAGTGTTTCACCATATTGGCCAGGCTGGTCTTGAACTCCTGACCTTGTGATCCACCCGCCTCCACCTCCCAAAGTGCTGAGATTACAGGCGTGAGCCACCGTGCCCGGCCGCAAGATAATTAAATAAGAAATTAATAAAATATCTGGTCAGCTGGATACATTAAATATGAAAAAAACTAAAACAAAAAAGCAAGATACCTGGAAAAAAATCTCCAAGTATTTCTAAATCCCCAAGTATTCTCTAAATAATCCATGAATAAATCAAAAGAGAGCTTAGAAATTATGTTGAACTGAATAAAAATAAAATTCAACTTATCAAGGTTTGTAGGATGCAGCTAAAGCAGATATGCTTATAGGAAAATTTATAGCTTTAAAAAAAGTTTTAGATTCAGGGGGTACACGGGCAGGGTTGTCACATGGGATTGCACGATGCTGAGGTTTGGGCTTCTAATGATTCTGTCACCCAAGGGGTGAACATAGCACCTGATAGGTAGTTTTTCAACCCTTGTCCTCATGCAGCTATAAGACAAATGCTTGGGGGACCACATAGCTGCTCCTCCCTTTTGGAATCTCCAGTATTTATTATTCCCATCTTTGTGTCTGTGTGTACCCAATGTTTAGCTTCCACTTTTAAGTGAGAACATGCAGTATGTGGTTTTCTTTTCTTTTCTTTCTTTCTCTCTCTTTCATTTTCTTTTCTTTTTTTTTTTTTTTTATTTTGAGACAGAGTTTTGCTCTTGTTGCCCAGGCTGGAGTTCAGTGGCGCAATCTTGGCTCATTGCGACCTCTGCCTCCCAGGTTCAAGCGATTCTCCTGCCTCAGCCTCTCAAGTAGCTGGGATTACAGGCATGTGCCACCACGCCCGGCTAATTTTTTGTATTTTTAGTAGAGACAGAGTTTCACCATGTTGGCCAGGCTGGTCTCAAACTCCTGACCTCAGGTGATCCACCTGCCTCGGCCTCCCAAAGTGCTGGGATTTACAGGTGTGAGCCACCACGCCCAGCCCATTTTCTTTTCTGTATTAATTCACTTAGGATAATGGCCTCTGGCTGCATCCATGTAGCTGTAAAGGACGTGATTTCATTCCTTTTTATAGCTGCATGAATTTTCAGTTTAAATGTATGAATAAGGCTTCCCAGGGAAATCTCCCAGAGTAGATCGAGCCCAGGAAGAAGGCACTCAGCCTGGGAGCCCAGGCCCGTTCTCTGAGCTCCCGGAAGCCAGGCCAGGACACCCGGAGGGAAGTGGAACAGGGTCACAGAGCAGACAGGAAGAGGGAGGTGGGCCCTGGAGACAAATGCTTGGGGGACCACATAGCTGCATCTGCACTGACCTTGGCTCCAGGGATCCCTGGTGGCCCTGGGGGCCCCTGTGGTCCGGGAGGCCCCTGTGTGTGAGAGTGAAGCCGGTCAGTGTCATGGGTTAGGCAGGGCCTCCCTTCGCTACCCATCCAGCTCCCCACCTGGAATCAAGTCCCCGTCCAGCTGAGCAGAGCAGGGGCAGGGTCCTTGGGGACTGCTTCTTCCCCAGTCAGGTCAGGCCACACTGTGCAAGGCTTTATCTGGCCTCCCAGGCTTGGGGGAGGCCAGGAGGTGACACCCAGCATTTGACAAGACACCAGTGTCTGCTGCCATGGACGGCCCTCTGCCCCAATCCAGATTTCTTCACGATGTTCCCCTGCTCAAGATCTTGCTTTGGCTCCCTATTGCCTCTCAAAGCAAGCTTAAATCCCCTGCTGGCATTCAAGGCCTGCCAAGAATGACATCCCCAATGGTGGCCCAGCACCACCGTCTCTGACTGTCCTGTGAGCTCTCTGACCTTCTGGCTCTGCTGCCTGCCATCTGCTGGGCCTAGGGAGTTCCTTAGTCTCGCAGGTAGGGGTGGGGTCTCCAGTGTTTCCAGGTCCGACCCCACTCTCAAGCTCCTGTCCTGATCCAGGCTTTCTGCAGGCTACCTGCCACCAGGGCCCAGCTGGCCCCCTGCTCAGCCTCCACACTCCTCCCCTCCCTTCTGAAAAACTGCACCCTGCCCAGCCCCTGCCCCACCCCTGCCCCGGAAGCTCTAGGTCTCTCCCCTCCCACCTCCCTATCCTGTGCCCTTCTTGTTGGTGTCCCATTGAGATGTCCCTGGCCTCCATCTTATCTACCCTCCCCCAGGCCCAGGCCCAGGACCTCCCTGCCTGGGGTCCCCCTGCTCCCTGCTCCAACACCTGCTTTCATTCACTGTCCATATCATTCCCTAGCTAGCCTTCCCCCAATATGTTTTTATTTTTTATTTTTTTTTTATTTTTGAGATGGAGTCTCCCTCTGTTGCCCAGCCTGGAGTGCAGAGGTGCGATCTCAGTTCACCACAACC
Organism: Homo sapiens; assembly: GCF_000001405.40. Classification (NCBI taxonomy): domain Eukaryota; kingdom Metazoa; phylum Chordata; class Mammalia; order Primates; family Hominidae; genus Homo; species Homo sapiens. The sequence goes on from NC_000005.10 coordinate 178,253,566, forward strand.
TCTGCCTCCCGGGTTCAAGTGATTCTCCTGCCTCAGCCTCCCGAGTAGCTGAGACTACAGGCGCGCACCACCATGCCCGGCTAATTTTTGTATTTTTAGGAGAGACGCGGTTTCACTATGTTGGCCATGCTGGTCTCGAACTCCTCACCTCGTGATCCACCTGCCTCGGGCTCCCAAAGTGCTGGGATCACAGGCGGGAGCCGCCGCGCCCGGCCGTGTTTTTATTTTTTTAACATCATGCCCTGCATGGACTATGGCTGCCCGCTGCCCATCAAACTGAGTCGGCATCTCAGTCTGGCATCCAAAGTCCATCTCTGGCTGGGCGTGGTGGCTCACGCCTATAATCCCAGCACTTTGGGAGGCTGAGGTGGCAGGATCACTTGAGGTCAGGAGTTTGAGACCAGCCCGGCCAACATGGTGAAACCCCGTCTCTACTAAAAATATAAAAATTAGCCAGGTGTGGTGGCGCATGCCTGTAGTCCCAGCTACTTGGGAGGCTGAGGCAGGAGAATTGCTTGAACCTGGGAGGAGGAGGTTGCAGTGAGCCGAGATCACACCCAGCCTGGGCGACAAGAGTGAATCTCCATCTCAAAAACAAAAACAAAACGAAGTCCATCTCCCAACTCCCTGCACTCACAGGGCTTCTCCCACAAGGCTAGGTCAGCCTGGGACACATCATGCATGTGCCTGCCGTCTGGGCCATGCCACGCCACACCACGCCACGCCACGCCACACCATGCATGCCTGGGGGTGGGTGCCACAGTTACTGCCAACTTGTACTTCCCCAAAGCCTGTGGGAGATAACTGGAAATGATGTTCAGGTGGGGCCAGGGCCCCCTTCCCAGTCTGGTCTCTGGTGACCACTCCTTCCTCACCCACTTTCCTTCTGGGGTACCCATGAGCTGCTGGCACCCAGTGCCTCTCTCCACTGGTGGTAAGTCCCAAGTTTACCAGCGACTGGGCTCGGAGGTCACATATCTCCCAAGGCTCTGGGGGCAGAGCTTGCCACTCTCATCCTCCCCATGGCATCATTAGGAGACCTAGCCCTCCAGCCAGTGTCCTCTGGGAAGGTCCCAGGAGACACCGGTGGGAACAGACCCCAGGAAATACTCTGCCTCCTGCCCCTGAGTGGGGAGCTTCCCTTTTTGACTTGGCCTCTAGGGAGCTCGGGGCCACGTGGGCCACATTCACAGGGGCTCTCTGAGGCGGGTCTCAACATAGCCCTGATTTCCACATTGGGTGCCTAGTAACAGCCGGGGTCTTTGTGCTAAGCTGCCTCTGGTCCCTTGTGTAAAAAAGTGCAGGATTAATCACAAAGGGAGTGATTATTCCCTAAGGAAAAATCGTATCTAAGGCACATCCTGGTCCCACCAGGAACACTACCTTGAGGGCATCCAAGATCCTGCCATCATAGTCGATCACCACTGTGTCTCCCTGCTCGCCCTTGAGGCCTGGGGCACCCTGAGGCAGGAAGAAGAGTAAGAATTTCAGGGAAGAGCTACACTGAGTTGGAGGTGAAGTGGCAGCTGTCCCTGCATCACATCCAGAGAGAAAGCAATGGAAGAGCCTCGTCACCCAGGCTGCACGCATGCCCCTCCCCAGGGTGGATGGAGGGAACGGGAGGCAGGCCCTGTGGCCAGCTGAGAGACCTGTTTCCACCTGGTCTGAGGGGCGGCTGTAATTGCCCTCACGTGGGCATTCAGGCCTGACCCCTGAGTTCTCGGGGGCAAATGGAAAGCCTGATTTTGATGTGACGCTCTTCAGATTTTTCAATGTTGGCAACAAACAGAAAAGCCCCAAACCCTCCAAAACACAAAGACATGAGCAGGCTGGATCTGGCCCCCGTGCCTCCATTTCCCAGCCTCTGGGAGCGGCTGCACACGCCAAGCACCCACACGCCTATTCCCGCCTGGTTACAGGTGCATGTCAGCATGCCCATGTCCATATGCTGCACACTCATTGTGCACACTCACACGTGCACGCATGGCTGCTGGCCAGCCCTTCCCTTGTGAACCTCACTTCCCCACCCAGGCTGCTCTTTGCTTGGGGTACAGTGAAGGCTGGGGAGCACTTTGGTCCAGACCCGAGCCTATCCCTTGTGCAGGCTGGAGACCCTTGCTTGGGCCTCATTTGCCAGCCCTCCCCCGTCCCCAGTCACAGCCTGCCCAGAACTGCCTGGCTCACTGGCTGCCTAATCCAACCCCCTCCCGCTCCCCACCACCTGCACAGCCAGGCGGGGGCTCAGATCCATTTTTTTTGGAGGAAGAAGCCAGCCTCTGGGAGCATGAGGAGACAGAGCCGAGGCCAGGATCCCGGACGTCACCCTAAAGGTAAGGTATGTTGATAGGGGCTGGTCACAAAAGATCTGGGGCAGGCTGGGGTGCTGTGCTCCTGGTGGCAGGGACAAACCTCCCTGTGGGGTGGGGAAAAGGCAAGGCCTGGCCCACTGTGGCAGGATCAGGCATACGACAAACAGAGGACCTGTGTCTGAATACATAAAGAAAGGAATTTAGGTGGACATGCGCTTGAGGGGACCGAGAGAGATCTGGCTTCATAATAGCAGGTCAGGACTCTTATTTTTGTACCTCCATATTTGAACATTTTACCCCAAAAAAGCATGTACTCTGGATTTTCAAAAATCACGAATAAATGAGTTTAAAAAGTAAAATACTCCCAGTTCCTGTAGCTCCACTGCTCCTCTGGGGTCTCTGTGGGGACAGGGGCTTCTGAAGCTATGGGGCCCCTAGATCTCATCCCTGAGGCCTCGCCTGAGGGGCGGCAGCTTACCCGGGGCCCTGCAGCTCCATCCGTGCCTCGGTGGCCAGGCTCCCCCTGTGGAGACATGCATTTGCAGCCAGAGGTGCAGCTGTGAAGCCAAAACACACCTCCCACGACCCTGCCCCCAGTCCCCTCTTCCCAGGAGGGCCCAGGGCCCGAGTGCTGGAACCCTAATAGCCAAATGTATGAGAACAGCACTCCAGGAACGGGGCTCCTCCAGGGGCCTGCGAGACCCTCCTCTGACATCACTTCGTATAGAGATGGGGACGCTGGTGTCCAGGAGCCTGAGGCTGCATGGTGAGTTGGCCACAAAGCTGGGCACCAGTGGAGGCCTTGCCACTCACCCAGATTCACCACCGCTGCCCCCACACCAGCTTCTGAGAGTGCTGAGGGAGACCCCTGGGTCAGGCCCTCCTGGGACTTAAAAGGGCAAATGAGAGCTGAAACCACATCTCCCACTCCCGACTGGGTGGAGGTCTGAGCGGGGCCCGCAGGCGCCAGAGCAGAGAGCTCTCATGTCACCTTCGGTCCTGGGGCACCGTCCACACCGTTCTCTCCCCGAGGCCCCATGCTCCCTGGCTCGCCCTGAAACAGACACAGCTGCAGTGAGAGCAAGTGTGAGACGGCACGTGGCGGGTGCCTTGGAGGGGGGCGTGCCTCGGGGTTGCCTGAAGCCTCGCGATTAGGCCTCCTGGCAAATTGTTACTGAGTCCATGGGGGGTGTGGGCGGATGGACCTCAGGCCTCTCCCTAGCCCAGGGGACTCAGGACCACGGCCGCCACCTTCTGGTGTGGGCCTTGGCACTTACTTGGGGCAGCGCAGGGGCTCAAGGGACATTTTGGAGACTGGCTGGCCAGGATTTGGTGGCTGTTGCGAGGGGTTGGGGGAGCAAGGCATGAGGATGACACCCAGTTCCTGGCTTGGGGACAGGGCAGAGAGTGAGGCCCCCTAAGATGGAAACAAGAGGGCTTGAGGGAGTGAGGGAGGCACATGGCCCGGGTGAGACGCTGGGCCTGTTGTGTGGTGGGGCCGCGGCCTTCCTCTGCCTCTCTCCGGCCTGCGCTGGGCACTGGCCTAGGAACCCGTGGTGCCAAAGGTCCAGGGTAGGGACTTCACCAGGTAGATGGGAACCATGGGAGGTGGGGGCAGGGGGCCACGAGAGGAGGGGCAGATACTCACCTTGGGCCCTGGTGGTCCAGGCTGGCTTGGTGTCCCATCGTCGCCCTGAGGAGAGGACACCTGGGGCTTGCCGGTCAGACCCTCGGGTGGCCAGTGGGCCCCTCCCTCCTCTGGACTTCCCAGCACACCAGTCTGCTCCTGGCATCTGCACTGGCACATGGTACCAGGCAGCTCCTCCCCACCCTCCTTGCCCCTCCAGGGCAGGTGTGGGGTCAGACCCATCTCTGTGTGTCCCCTGTTCCCACCAGCCCAGGGCTGGCATTTGCAGAAAGAACGGATGGGCAGGTGAATGAGGGTACATTCATCCATTCATTCCCCCTGTGGGCCAGGCAGCTGAGGTCCCTGCTCAGGTGGGGTCAGAGGAGGCCAAGGAAAATATTCAAATAAATACGAGGTTGGCTGGCACTGTGGCTCACGCCTTAATCCCAGCACTCTGGTAGGTCAAGGCGGGAAGACTGCTTGAGCCCAGGAGTTTGTGGCTGTAGTGCCCCATGATGGCACCTGTGAACAGCCACTGCACTCCAGCCTGGGCAACAGGGCAAGACTCCATCTCTACAAAAACCAGAAAATAAAAAATTAGCCGGGCATGGTGGCACATGCCTGTAGTCCCAGCTATTTGAGAGGCTGAGGTGGGAGAACTGCCTGAGGCTGCAGGGAGCTGTGATCATGCCACTGCATCACAGCTTGGGTGACAGAGTGAGATCCTGTCTTAAAATATATATATATATATATATATATATACACATGCAAATCAATTCTAGGCACCATGTCAGGAAGTGGAGAAGAGAAGAGGATGGCCTGGTGGTGAGGGACTGCAGGGAGGGCTTGTTTCAGCAGGTGGCCAGGGAAGGTCTCCTGGAAGATGGGAGAGGTTTTTTTTTTTTTTTTTTTGTAAGGTGAGTCTCACTCTGTCGCCCAGGTTGGAGTGCAGTGGCACAATCTCGGCTCACTGTGAGCTCTGCCTCCGGGTTCACGCCATTCTCCTGTCTCAGCATCCCAAGTAGCTGGGACTACAGGCGCCCGCCACCACGCCCGGCTAATTTTTTGTATTTTTAGTAGAGATGGGGTTTCACCGCGTTAGCCAGGATGGTCTCTATCTCCTGACCTCGTGATCAGCCTGCCTCGGCCTCCCAGAGTGCTGGGATTACAGGCGTCAGCCACCGCTCTGGGTCTGGTTTTTTTTGGTTTTTGAGACAAGGTCTCGCGCTGTTATCCAGGCTGGAGTGCAGTGGCACAATCATAGCTTACTACAGCCTCAACCTCCTGGGCTCAAGCGATCCTCCCACCTCAGCCTTGGAAGTAGCTGGGACTACAGATGCATGCCACTGCACCTGGCTAATATTTTTGATTTTTAGTAGAGATGAGGTCTTGGTGTATTGTCCAGGGTGGTCTTTTTTTTTTTTTTTTTTTGAGACGAGTCTCACTCTGTCGCCCAGCAGGTTGGAGTGCAGTGGCGCAATCTCAGCTCACTGCAACCTTCGCTTCCTGGGTTCAAGTGATTCTCCAGCCTCAGCCTCCAGAGTAGCTGGGATTATAGGTGCCTGTGACCACGCCTGGCTAATTTATTTTTGGATTTTTAGGAGAGATGGGGTTTCATCATGTTGGCCAGGCTGGTCTTGAACTCCTGATCTCAAGTGATCCTTCTGTCTTGGCCCCCTAAAGTGCTGGGATTGCAGGCATGAGCCAGTGTGCCTGCTGGCCTTGGAGGAGGGTTTTGCTGAGACCTGAATGAGGTGAAGGAGGAGGCTGGCCCAGGAGAAGAGGCCGGGGAGGATAATGCTCATTCAGTGTTTTCAAGCTTGAGCTCACATCAGTGGCACCAGGGGCTGGTCAAACAAACTCTGGCCCCATCCCAGAGTCTCTGATTCAGTGGGTCTGGTGGGCCCCAGGACCACACTTTGAGAACTAGTGCCCCCCAGCCCTGAAGTGGGCAGGAATTTCATGTGTTCGAGGAAGGGAAAGAATGAGTGAGTGAATAAATGAATGAATGAAATGAATTCTGGCCTCAGGGAGAGCGAGGACAGGGCAGCCACCTGCAGTGAGGGCTCAGGGCTGGTGGAGAGAAGGCCGCCTTCCCTGTGGGTTGGCTCCCAGCCCATCCCGTCCCCATCCCCATCCCCATTCCGTCCCAGCCCCTGCCCTTCTCTCCAGCCACTTCCCAACACTGACCCGGAAGCTCCTCCATTGGCCCCTCTCACCTTCTTTCCAGGTACTCCAGGCTCACCCTGGGGGAGGCAATGGGGGGTTCAAGAGCAAGGTCAAAACCATAGGAGAGTGGCCCGGACCCCGGACCTCTTGTTCCTCGGGTAGAAGTGGCACTGATGACCCGTGCCCAGGGCCAGCCCAGAGACCCCTGAATGCTTCAGAGAGCTGCGGCGGACAGTCTTGAATTCCACTTCTGAGCCACTCACTCCCAAGCTCAATGACCCTGGGCAAGGCACTGTTCTTGAAAGTGGAGAGGTGACTCCTGCCGTCTCAGAGGGTTTTGGAGGATGAGGCGCTGGCTAAGCAAGCTCTTTCCCATCCTTCCTCCTCAGGCCAGAGGCTCCGTCTCCGTCAGCGAGGACCAGAGCCCGCCTCCCCACCCACACCCTCCCCAAAGAGGGCGAAAATGAAAGAGCTGGCATCTGCAGAGGCTGGACAAGCTAACATGGTGGGAAACCACATCCACGTGAAAACCTGCACATGGACGCTGACATCAGCTTTACTCAAAACTGCCAAAACCTGGAAGCAGCCAACATGTCCTTCAGTCGGTGAGTGGGTAAATAAACTGTGGCTTATCATTCAATAAATAATAAACCCAGACATGGACTATCATTCAGTGCTAGAAAGGAATGAGCTGTCAAGCCATGAAAAGACATGGATGAAAGGTCAATGTGTATTACTAAGTGAAAGGAGCCAATCTGAAAAGGCCACACACTGTCTGATTCCAACTAGATGACACTCTGGGAAAGGCAAAACTATGGAGACAGTGAAAAGAGATCAGTGGTGGCCGGGCACGGTGGCTCATGCCTGTAATCCTAGCACTTTGGGAGGCTGAGGTGGGTGGATCACCTGAGGTCAGAAGTTCGAGGCCAGCCTGACCAACATGGTGAAACCCCATCTCTACTAAAAATACAAAATTAGCCAGGTGTGGTGGCGCACGCCTGTAATCCCAGGTACTTGAGAGGCTGAAGCAGAAGAATCACTTGAAACCAGGAGGCAGAGGTTGCAGTGGGCTGAGATTGTGCCATTGCACTCCAGCCTGGGCGACAAGAGCAAGACTCCATCTCAAAAAAAAAGATAAAAGATCAGTGGTGTCAGGGGCTAGGGAGAACGAGGGATGAACAGGCGGAGAACAGAGCATGTTTAGGGCAGGGTAAATACTCCATGACACCACAGTGGTGGATACTTGTCAACACACACTTGTCCGAATCCAGAGTGTACCACAGCAAGAGTGAACCCTAATGTAAACGACGGCATCTGGGTGATGGTGGTCTGTCCACACAGGTGGGTCATCTGTAGCAAGTGGGGGATGTCCACAGCGGGGGAGGGGGATATGGAAATTCTGTACTTTCTGTTTAGTTTTGTTGTGAAACAAAAACTGTTCTAAAAATAAAATCTATTTGGGCCAGGTACAGTGGCTTACACCTGTAATCCCAGCACTTTGGGAGGCTGAGGTGGGAGGATAACCTGAGGTCAGGAGTTCGAGACTAGCCTGGCCAACATGGTGAAACCCCATTTCTCCTAAAAATACAAAAAATTAGCTGGGCATGGTGGCACACACCTGTTGTCCCAGCTACTCAGGAGGCTGAGGCAGGAGAATTGTTTGAACCCAGGAGGTGGAGGCTGCAGTGAGCTGTGATCGTGCCACTGCATTCCAGCCTAGGCGACAGTGAGACTCTGCCTCAAAAGAATAGAAAATTAAAAAAAAAAAGGAAAATCTATTTGAAACCAAAAGGCTAATGTGTTTTATGATTCAACCCTCGCAACTCAGTGTGAAAAAGGCAGGAAAGGTTTACTGTGCCTCCATTTAACAGATGACTAAACTGAGGCCCAGAGAGATGCAGTAACTTGCCCATGGTCCAGGAATTTGATCTCCTGACCCTGCTGCCTTGGCTTCACTAGGGGTGGGGGGAAGAGACAGGAAGTGGAGGTGGTGGTGGGGGAGTCCATCCCACCAGATCTGGGGAGGGGCATGGGGAATAAGGAGTACTCACCTTGGGCCCTGGGGGTCCCTTTGGGCCCTGGAACAAGAGAAGAGAAGGTGTTAAATGTCATACTGGAGGCTGCTCCTGGGCCTGTCCTTCTTAGCATCCTGGCTTTGTAAAAGGTGACACCAATCCCAGAGAGCAGGAGGCTGGGCTGCCGTCAGAAGCAGGCTGGAGCTGCCCACCCTGGGCCTGACTCCTCAAGCCTGGGACAGCTTCTGCATTAGGGCTCAGGTGGTGGCAAGTGGACCGCAGCCTCCGCACAGGAATGTGGAGCTACTGGAATCCCCCTGGCTGGTGCCTCACCCAGCCATTTCCCCAGGGTGGCTGGAGGGGCAGGTGCACAGGGGTCCACACACATGCAGACACGTACATGCAGAGGCGCGCGCACACACATAAACATGTGCGCGTGACCCTGCTGTCGGCGTGTGTGGGAAAGGGGCTTCCAGGTCTGGGAACCATGATCCTAGCAGCCCAGGCCTCTGGAATGCCCTGGATACTGACCATCTCGCCGTCTTGTCCGGGCTCTCCTTTGGGGCCCTGCGGAAGTGTGAGGGGACAGCAGTGAAGGATGCAGGATGTCACATTGAACTGAGCCCAAATCTCAGGCCAGACCCCGGGCTGGGGCTCTAAGTACATTATCTTATCTCATTCTCGCCAAACCTGAAGAGCGAGTATCACTGTCCCCACTCCACAGATGAGAATGTTAGGCTGGGGAAGCCACTGGCCCGGTGTGACAAGTAATGGATGAGCCAACTGAGCAGCTGTCCTGGGGGAATCTGGCAGCAGTTTGGTGGGGATCCATTTGACTGGGGGGGGACCCTGGTGGCAGTCTGGTGGTGGCATGGGCTCCACAATGAAGGGAAGGACAGGCTGGGGATTCTGGGTTAGGGAAAGGGGTAGTAGGATGGGGCCTGGCCTCTAGACTTTGGAGACCCTGGGAGGAAAGCTGAGGCTGAGATACTATTGGGGAGCATGAGGGGAGGGGCTGATAAAGGTCTGCAGAGACAGTGTCCCCAGAAGGGTCTCAGGCTCAGGGTTGAGTCAGGATTGGGACTGGGATTGCAACTAAGGTCAGCTTAGGGTCTCTGGGTCTGTTTGAAGTTAGAGTTGGGTTGGGAGTCAGGGTCAGAGTCTGTAAGGTTCAGAGTTAGGGTCTGAATTGGGGGCGTAGACCAGGATTTGGGAATGAGTTAGAGGTCAAGGTCTTGATTGGGATCAGAGACCCAGTTAGTGTTAGATTTAAGGTTCGAATGGGATTAAGGGTCTGGGTTGAAGTTAGGGTTGGGTTTGGGTCTGGGGTCAGGGTCAGGATCTGAATTGGGGCTGGATCTTGGTTGGAGTTAAGTTTGGGCCCAGGTTCAGTGTCTGGATTAGGGTTAAGGATAGTGTGGGGTCTGCACTAGAGATGGGGATGGGGATGGGGCTGGCTCTGGAATCAGGATTTGGGGTTTTGGTCAAGTCCTGCGTGGCCCAACTCCATGCCCTCTCTTACCGCTGGGCCTTGTGCTCCCCTGGGGCCATCTTTCCCAGTGTCGCCAGGAGGGCCCCGGGCCCCAGGAGGTCCAGGGGGCCCCGGAGGCCCAGCAGCTCCATCTTGTCCTTGGTCTCCCTGAAAGAGATGGGGCTTGGCATGACTCTGAGGGGGAGGGGGTCCAGCCTCCAGAGAGAGGCTCCCTCAGATGGGCAGCCCCACGCCATCCCCTTCCCCAGCCCTTGGGCAGGCTCAAAGGGGAGGGCTTTGTTATTGGGCCTCTTGCCACTTATTGGGAGCTGCATGAAGGAACAGGTCCCCATACCTTGGTGTAAGAGGCCCTACAGGACCCTTTACATGCCAAGGAATGTGCCAGCTCTCCAGCGCCTGAAGCCCAGATCCAGTGTTTAGGAGAGAGATGGCACACGCTGCATGTGGGAGACAGCACGTGTGTCCAGCTGCCCCCTCTTCTTTCTAGAACGGGGTCTGAGTGTCTCCTGAAGGACCTTCCTGGTTGGTCAACTCCCACTTCATTTAAGTATGGAGGGGCACTCTTGGGCATTTATCCTTGTTCACAGCTGCTTTATTAGTAACAGCCCCAAACTGGAAACTAATCCGAAAGTCCTTTGGTAGGTGGAAGGTTAAGGAGCTGGGGTACATCCACATCATGGAACACAACTCAGCAATCAACCCAAAGGAACAGGGCACGACACATGCAACACCTCAGATGCATCTCAGGAGAATTATGCTAAGTGGAAAAAGTCCATCTCCAAAGCTTAATACTGTGTGGCTGTATCTACGTAACACTCTTGAAATGGCAACATTGAAGAGATGGAGAGCCCATAATGGTTGCCAGGCGTTAGGGATGGGGGGATGAAGGTGATTGTAACTACAAAAGAACAGCATGAGGGACCTTTGTGGGCTTACACAAATCGACGGGTGTGTTAAAATTGCACAGAACACACAAACGAGTGTGTGTACAGGTGGGGGCATCTGAATAAGGTTGGTGGATTGTATCATTGTCAATTTCCTGTTGTGAGACTGTACTACAGAGATGCAAGATGTCACCATTGGGGGAGACTGGATGAAGGGTACACAGGTGTTATTCACTACAATTACATGTAAATCTACAATTATCTCAAAATAAAAGTAAAAAAAAAAAAAAGGATGATGAAGGGCCACATGGTTTCTCTCATGCAGCAGTAAATCCCCAACTTTAGAACCTGATGTTAGTACTGGGGTCAGACCTCAGGCAGCCGGAGCCCCACCTCATGGCCCAACCCGAGAGGAAGGGAGATCACTGTGACTGGCACCTACCCACTGCCCCAGCAGTGCCCACCCTACACTCGCACAGGGCAGAGCCACAGGAATGGAGTACACCCAGGTCATGGTGCCAGTGGCTCCCAACCCTCTTGTAACAAAGAAAGGAAGACCTAGCACTGAGCTAGCAAGGATATCCTGAAGATGTTTTTTTGTTTGTTTTTTTGAGACAGAGTCTTTTGCTCTGTCGCTCAGGCTGGAGTGCAGTGGCGCAATCTTGGCTCACTGCAACCTCCACCTCCCGGGTTCAAGCGATTCTCCTGCCTCAGCCTCCCGAGTAGGTGGGATTATTATTATTATTACTATTATTTGTATTTTTAGTACAGACGGGGTTTCACCATGTTGGCCAGGCTGGTTTCGAACTCCTGACCTCAACTGATCTGCCTGCCTTGGCCTCCCAAAGTGCTGGGATTACAGGCGTGAGCCACTGCACCCCGCTGAAGATGATCTTATTCAACCTTTGTGATGAGCCGGCCAGTTCACTGTTATTGTCCCATTTTACAGAAGGAATGGCTGGGGTGGGGGATTATTTGCCCAGGGTTACAGAGCCAGGGAAGGCAGAGGCTCCTCTCACTGCCAAGGCACATGGTCCCTTTGAGACACTTCTTTTCATCCACAGATGTTCCCTGATCTGATATAGCTCACCTCTCTAGCAAACTGCACTTAACACAAATTCACTTGCTTTCCCAATTAAAAAATCAGCAGAAGTTCTCAACACCCACCACTCAGGTCCTCCCCTTGGTCTGGCAGGGCCAGGGTCCTGATCAAAATATTACAGCTCCAGCGGAAAGGAAAGAAAACTGACAGTTTGGTTAGGTCACCAGGTATGGGTGGTGATGGTGGCGGGTGATTCCTGTTTTAATTTGCACTGAAGCAGGAAGAATTTGAAGACACCCCCTTAGCTCCCTGCTGCTCCTTTTATAAAGGGCCTCAGGCTGGGAACTACTGGCCTAGACTCTACTTATTAAGGCAGAAAATGGGCCTGACACTGGAGCAGATCCTGGGAGAGGTTCTTAGGCTCTTTCCTGGCCAGCCTGCCTGCTCCTCCCTCAGGGATTGGATGGCTGAGGTCTAACCCTGCAAACGTGGGGTGAGTTGGGGGTAACACAGCAAGCCATCAGGTCCAGACCCCCACTCAGCCAGTCTACCTTGAGGATCCGGCGATTGTACAGGTGATGGTCTCTACTTATAAAGCCCGGATTGAGCCGTGGGAAAACCATCTAGTCAGCAGATAGGTTGTGTGGTCAGAAAGGCAGGAAGGTGATCTGAAGAACTACAAGGCTTTTTGAAACCTGGAGGCAAAGCCACTTAACCAAGCCCAGAGAAAGGCAGTTAGGTGATCAGGTGTGCAGACTCCTTCTCCAAGGATGGCTGCTTACCAGCTGAGCGCCCACCAGCATCCACGCCACCTGCGGCCATGTGACGGTGCCATCACCCAGGGCTCCCGGCCTGGCTGCCTGCAACCTCCCAAGAGAGCCTAACCCTTACCCAGGGGCCATGAGAGATAATGGCAATTGGAGTCTTAAGCCACTACTTTTTAAATTTTTTTTTTTGGAGACAGTCTCGCTCTGTCACCCAGGCTGCAGTGCTGTGGTGCCATCTCGTCTCACTGCAACCTCTGCCTCCTGGGTTCAAGCAATTCTCTTGCCTCAGCCTCTCGAGTAGCTGGGACCACAGGCGCACACCTCCACACCCGGCTAATTTTTGTATTTTTAGTAGAGATGGGGTTTCACCATGTTGGTCAGGCTGGTCTCAAACTCCTGACCTCAAGTGATCCACCTGCCTCGACCTCCCAAAGTGCTAGGATTACAGGCATGAGCCACCTCGCCCGGCCATTAAGCCACTAAACTTTGTGTGTGCATGTGTGTGTGTGCGCATATGTGTGTGTGTGTTGGGGGGTGGTGTTCCCGATGACTGGGACACTGGGACCATAGGGAGGGTATCCACGAGGAGGGTTGGGGGATTGGGAGGAGATCCACTCTTCATGACCTCTGGGCCTCAGGACTTCTAGTCTGTTGAAGAGAGGGCATCCCCTTTTGGAATATCAGCTCCACACACCCACCAGGAAAGCAAGCAGAAGGATTTTTCTCAGCAGCTAAAACTCAGCATGAGCGCCCTTTCTTTGACTGCAGAACAATCTCACCAGCTTTATGTGGCTGGCACAGAGCAGCTGTGTTCGTGCTCACAGCTCAGGGGCTTGGCCTGGCCAGCCCCCTTCCCTGCTCCTGCTCACAGCTCAGGGCCGCGGAGGTGCGGAGCAGGCGCCCGGCCAGCTCTGACCACAAGCTGCAGCCCCGCTCTCCGCACTGCGGCTCCCACTACCTTTTCTTTCCCATAACAACCTCTTGGGGTGGGGGCTGTTCCCCCATTCACAGTTGAAGAAACTGAGTCTCAGAGAGCAAAGTGACTTGTTCAGGGTCACTCAGCTGGCAGGTGGCAGAGCTGAGCTTTGAGCTCAGTTCTGCTGACCCCAGAGCCTTCCCTCTTTTTGGGGTGCCAGCTGTCCTCAGGACGCTGTCTCCAGTCTGGGGTCACGTGCCAGCCCCACTGTCCAGCATCCACAGTGGTAAGCATGGAGACCTGGCCGTCTTCCAGAGACACTCCACCTGCGCAAGAGGGGCAGCCCCACAACCCAGGTCCCTGGGGGCTTCCACCGGTGCTATGGGTGGGGAAGAGCCCTCTTGGCCTCTTTCTGTGATGAGCTGCGGGGAGCTGGGACCCAGAAGCAGCGCCAGTTATGCCTCATTATTACACAAAACAAACCATGTGGGCAGTGAGGGAGGTCATGCCTGGTTCTTACCCGGGGGCCAAAGTCTCCTGGTGCACCCTGGGAACAAAAGACAGGGAGAGGCATCACCACTGCTTTCATCGTTTCTTCACATTTCCCGTCGGGCATCTGTGCCCAGTGCTTCATAGACATGGTATGACTTAATTCCAACAAAAATAGCAGGCAGGCCCTATTTTTATTTCCATTTCCAACGAGGAAGCAGACACAGTGAGGCCACTTAACCTGCTCAAGGTCACACAGCTAGCAGATCCAGGACTTGAAGGCAGGTAGGTGTCCCCTTATCTAGGGGGCAGCCCCAGCCATTCGAGGCCCCAGACATTGTGGAGCAGAGACAGCCCCTCCCACTGTGTCCTCTGGAAGGGACGGTAATGAGTAAATGTTGCTTTACACGGCCAAGTTTTGGGGCAGTGCATTAAGCAGCAATAGACACCAAGACACCAGTTCTCTCTGGTTTCAAAGCCCCTGATGGAATCACTTCTATGACACGGTGGCATCAGCCAAGGCCGGCAGGAAGGTAATCAGGACACCTGCCAACTGCACTAGTCTCTTCATTGACAAGAACATTGAGACCATGACCTCATGCAATCTCTCCTGTGGCTCCGTGAGATTGGTCTTAATTTACAGATGGGGAAACTGAGGCCCACACAGCCCGGCAACTTGGCCAAGGTCACACAGTTGGTGGTGGAGCTGGAATGCAAAGCCGAGCTTCTGAACACCAGCTCCCATGCCTCCCCACGGCTCCCGCAGCCCTGGTGGTTGGGCGGGAACCCTGCCTGCCTGGCCTGAGCTGCGGAATCACAGCAGGGCCCATCTGCAGATCTCACTTCCCATTTCCAAATTCTGGGTCGGGGGTGGACATGGTCCAGCTGTGGGAGCACCCGGCTGGCCCTGGCACACCTAGGCCTACTCTGGTCCCTCCCCTGATTTTACCGTGGGTAACACAGGTCTCTTCTGTCCCTTTCTGAGACACTTGGTCCCTGTTTTCTAGGGGGCTTTAGTGCCTGATACCAAGGAAGCCTTCCTCCCAAGGGGCCGCAGAGATAGCTGTCCGCCTTGTCTTCCTGATGGGTGTCCTCCCCACAGAGAATACCATTAACAGTCATGGTTCAATCCCCAAGCCCTCCTGGCACCCCCCTTCACCATGAAGTCCTCTGGACACTCGTCATTCTGGGAACACCGGGCCTCCGAGTTTGGTTATGCTTTGGTCCCAGGAGAACTCAAGACTCAACTCTCTGGGCAGGCCGTATTGTCAAATGTAAGCCTTGTAATCATTTTAGAAGGTAGGCACTGTGATTCCCACTCTACAGATGGGGAAACTGAGGCTCTAGGAGGGGCTGTGATGTGCTCAAGGGCACACTGGAACTGGCGTTCGGAGGCAGGTTTCTGGGATTCTTCGCCTGCCTACCACATCTGCACAGCCTCTGGCATCACTTACCTTTTCCCCTTTCGGGCCTGGAAGTCCCTGGAAAAGGAAAGTGGAGAAAGAACAGACCTGAGTGAGGGGCCTAGGCTGGCTCCCCTTCTGGCTTCCCTATACCTCTGAGGGCAGAAGGGCCCGTGATGCTGGGCGGCTGAGTGGAAAATTACACATGAGCTCTCAGCCCTCAATGAGAGCTGCCCTGGCTGGCCCAAGGAAGCTCCACATCTCAGTCCTCAGCATGAGGGATACGGGGGAATTGCGGGTGACCAGCAAGGGCCCACTGGCATCCTCGCAGCAGAGAAAGGGGCACATGCACTGGCCACTCCTCCCAGAGAGCACACACGGTCAGTTCCCTACTGCTCAGCACCCGCCCTGTCATTGTCAGTGGGAGACCACTGCCCCCAAGCCATCTTTCTGGAATCTGAGAAGCAGGCAGTAGACAGAGATTCTCTCTCCATAGGCATTCTCTTCTTCTTTTTCCTTTCTTATTTCTTAAAAAAAAAAAAGCATTCTCTTCTTTAATGGTAGCAGCTCCTTGGAGTATGGGTTCCATCTGTCCATCCCTGTATGAGTCATCCATCCATCCATCCATCCATCCATCCATCCATCCATCCATGTATCCATCCATCCATCCACCCACCCACCCATCCACCCACCCATCTATCCATCCATCCACCCACCCATCCATCCAACCATCCATCCACCCGTCCATCCACCCACCCACCCATCCACCCATCCACCCATCCATCCACCCATCCACCCACCCATCCACCCACCCATCCACCCATCCACCCATCCACCCACCCATCCACCCACCCATCTATCCACCCATCCATCATCCATCCATCCATCCATCCACCCACCCACTCATCCATCAATCCATCCATCCATCCATCCATCCATCCATCCATTCATCCACCCATCCACTCACCAATCCATTCATCCATCCATCCACCCATTCATCCACTATCCATCCATCCACCCATTCCCCCACCAATCCATCCATCCATCCATCCACCCACCTACCCATCCACTATCCATCCAACCACCCACCAATCCATCCATCCATCTATCCAGTCAGCATCCATCCATCCATCCATCCATCCATCTATATATCTACCGACTCACCCATCCATCCATCCACCTCAAATTACTTATTTAATTGTGCTTATGTCTCCCTGCATGTTTTGCTCATCTGCTGAGGCTCCTGGCCCAGATGTTGAGAACTCAGCTTGATGCCCACCAGGGCAGTCTTGAGAACGTAGTGAGGACACTGTGCCTGTGCCTGCTGGGAGGTGCTCGCATGCTTTGAGGGCTGACTAGACCCCAGGGACTGTGCCGTCCACAGTTTTCCATAGGTCCACCCCTCCTATGAGAGAGGGGTTCATGTGCCCACTTGACAGACAAGAAGCCTCAGGCTTGGGAGGTTAAGGAGGCCTCCCTTGGTCACCGTCAGCAGGTAGTGGAGTTAGATTTGAACTCAAGTCTGACACCCAAAAGGCTTCTCTCTGTGCTGAACCAAGTTCCAGTGGCTGCTTCCCTCCAGTGCCTGCTGGTCACTCCTAGCCCCACGGTGGCAGCCCCAGCCCAGGACCCCCTGGAATTGCCCTGTCATCACTTACGGGCTTGCCATCCAAACCCAGGGGTCCCTGGAAAACGAGAGAGAGAGAACACAGGTTACACACGGGGATGACACTTCCTCCATGTCTTATGACCCAGGTGCACTATTCAGTGACAAGAAAACAAAGCCTGTGGGAGCCCCGCGTCTGGGTTCAGTCCATGTGGCCTGGGGCTGAGGGAGGGGAAGGCATCTGTGTGTTGTCTGCTGCCCAGAATCCCCTCCTCTGACAAGAGAGCCCAGTTCTTCTCTAAAGACCACCCCCCATCTCAACCCATGGGGTCTGGGTGGGCTGCTGGGGTGGGCATGTGACCGCATTCCCTCCGCCAGGGTGACGGGGTCAGCGATGAGCCTGGGATCCAAGGCGAGCCATGAGCATCTTGCCTGGGACTTAATGGTGGGGCTTTAGAGGCTTTCTTCTGATGGGGCTAAGCCTGGAGCTCCCAGGGACCACCACATGGCTTGAGAATAAGCCAACAGGGAGGAAAGCAGAGCTGAGAGACAGAGAGAAAGACAGCGTCGAGGGCCTGAAGCTGAAACTACCCCTGCACACATCAGTTTGAGAGCTAATCAATACTTTTGTTTTGCCTTCACTAAGCCAGCTTGAATTGAGCTCCTGTCATTTGTAACTGGCAGAGTCTTGAAGGCTCTTTGAGCTTCCCACATTGCTGCAGCCTTTGCAGACAACAGTAAAGCTGGAGAGAAGCCGAATCACACCAGGGTGGGTCCAGAGAGTGGGGGCACTCAGGGACCTCCAGGCCCCCTGCAGAGTCTGCAGAGGGCCAGCTGCACAGCAGCCCGTGCCAGACACCCCTTCCCCTGTCCACCTACCACTCACTCAACAAAGCCTCGCCTAGCTCCCCTCCGTGTGGGAGTGGGGAGGAATCCAGCTGGCAGGGATGCTGGGACCAGGGCTGCCTGGTCTCTGTCAGCCCCCTCTTCCTCCCCACCACTGTCCCCTCACCCCCACATACACTTCACTCTTGGCCGCAGCAACGATGCACACAGCTCCACACTTCTGAACCTTTGCACACACTGTCCACCTGCCGGGCACATCCTTCCCTTCTTTGTCCATCTTCAGCTCAGTTACCTCCTCTTCCAGGAAGCCTTCTAGGGTTTTCTCCTTCCCAGAGTCAGGCCATCTGTCCCTGTTCCCACCACATATATTCTGTCGCATGTGACATGACCTGTTGTTAATGTAGGGTCTGCACAACTCTTCCCCTGTAGAGTCAGGAAAAGGGTCTAATCCCTGTGCCTCTGGTATTGGATGGGGCCTGGCAGGCAGCATGTGCCCAGAAAATGTGTGCGAAGTCAAACCAAGGAAGTATGGCAAGAACGATAATGCTGCAAATGCACGCACTGCACAGTAGAAAGGGAAGGCGGAGAGGTGGAGAGGTAGAGGCTCTGCCAGCTCCTAGCCGGCAGGGCGCATTGTGGCGACAGTAACGTTGGGGTATTTGGACCTAACAAGTGTGTGTGTGGGGGCGGGGAGGGCCCTGTAAGCAAAAGAGAGCAGCCTGGCCAAGGCGGGATGGGGGACCCTGTAGGTGGTGGAGGAGCAGAGGGGCTGCACTAACCTCAGTGCCTCTCATAGGCCCCTGACCGGTGGCCTTCACGCAGCCTTCGCTCAGGCTGTCCCTGCCTCTCTGGGCTTCCGCTGGCTGAGGACGGACTCCCAGGCCCAGCATCAGGGTCCTCTGTGGTTAGGGCCAGCTTCAGCCATTTGGTCACTCTGCACCCCTGTCCGTCCCGAGCTCTCTGGCTTCCTTTCCATCCTCATCCCTCGGCTCTCTGTTCCCTCTGCCTGGAGTGCCTTCCCTGCGTTTCCAGCTGGTAAGAGGCAGCTCGTCCCCCGGGACAGCCTCCTGCTCTGGGAAGACTTTCCTGGCCTCTGGTTCTGGACACAGCTGGGAGCTGGCCTCGTGCCTGCCAGGTAGGAGGTAAGCTGCTGGCTTCCCTGGCTCAACCTCCAGACTGCCTCGTATGGAGATGGCCCATCTGCCCATTCCCAGACGGTGTGAGAGTGGCCACTCCACGTGGGGCTCGCGGCCAGGGCCTTGCTGGCAGCAGGAAACCAGGCAGTTCTAAAAATTGGTGTCAAAGGGCTTCTGGCCACCAGTCTCATGGTCGCTGAGGGTTTGGCCATCAGAGTGATGGCCTGGTGACAGCTGGGGTCCCAGGAGAGTGGGAGTGGGGGCATTCCAAAGTCTTGGGGATTCAGGCCCTGGGGGCCCCGGGTCAGGGCCTCAGCCTCCATCACAGGCATAGTTCTAGTCCTTGCCATGAGCCTCCCAGGAGCTGCCCTAGCTGGACAGTGTCCTCTTGCCAGTTCCCGGCTGTCCTGATCCTGGGGTCCACACCCCCAGGCCTTCTGCCCTCGGTAGTACACTAAATTTGGCCCTGCCCCTTGTCCCCCTACCCCCCGACCCAAGCCCTGCTGGGTGTCCTCAAGGTCGCGTCCCACTAGGCATCCCCACCTTGGACCCTTCCCCCAGGCCTGACCCCACACACATGGCCGCCAGTCCTTCCTGGGTCTCTTCAAGGAGCTCTTCGTGGCCCCCACTCAGTCTCAGTCACACAGCAACCCTGTAAGGTACGTGTCATCATCCCCATCTTACGGAGAAGGAAACTGAGGCCCAGTGAGGGGAAGACCTTGCCTAGGGCCATGCAGCTGGAGAGGTCTGGGCCCTGGGTCTCCATCCTGTCTGCACTGCAGGCCCGTGCCGCGGTGCTGTCTGGCCTCCCGGCCGCTCTCTCCTGCTCTAGGCCTCGGAAACCTCTGTTAAATCCTCCCTGCAACCAAGGCCCCCTGGATGTGAAGCACGCAGAGCCACAGGGCTCTGCCTTTCTAGAAGTGCCCGTGGAAGGGAGCCCAGGCTGTCCCCTTGGCCTCAACCCCAGAGGGAGCATCTCAGTGCTGCCGGCTGTTTCTGGAAGTGTCCACCGACTGGACCTTATTATGGCTGCAGGCCTCCTGCCTCCTGAGCTGGACGCTGCCCTCTGTCAAGCTAGGACTGTTCCTGGGGGGTCACTGATGGCGCAGCCTTTGGTCCCCGAGGCTTCTTTCTGATGTGTGAGAAGCCCCGTCCGTGACAGAAAACCAATTTTTACACCAAACGCCCTGCCTGTATTTGTGATCAGAGAGCTCTGGGAGTTTTTACAAGTGAATTCAGTGTGTAGCTTCCCAATAGAGGCAGAGGGTGCAGTGTGCGCAGTGCTCCCGGGAGCCCCCACCAAGGGCTGAAGGGAAGTCAAGTCCAATTCTCGGAAGCCGAGCCTGTGCCTGCACCGGCACTGAAGCTCCCTGTGTGAAAACTGACACAGCAGACGGGGCTGGGCCAGCCCCTGGGACAGAGCCGACCCACAGCCAGGATGACACCTGGGCAAGAAAGCTGTCCCCAGGCCCCCGAGCTTTCTGTGTGGGGCAGTGGCTGACCTTGGAGAAGCTGCTGGGTGGGTATGGTCACTGAGGAGGGGACTCCGAGGTGGGCCGGGAAGGAACAGCCTGGCTTTGGAGTCAGATGCACCTACCTGGCTTGGGGATGTGATTCTGACCTCCCCTCCTGTCCTGGGGAAGTTGGGCCAGCCCTCTGGGCCGGAGGACCCTGGGCTGTGAACCTCCAGGGGATGGACCCTGCCCACAGTTACCCTACAGAATGCCTTTCCCAAACTGGTGTCCCACAGCACACTGCCCTGCAGGGTGCCAACAGGCTTGCCTGGAGACAGGGATTCCACGGTTGAGTAAGTCTGAGAAACACTGGGTTACACTCTGCGGAACAGGTTTCTTTCCTGCAGGGCTGTCTGAGCCGTCATTTTAGTTTGTGGGTCTTTGAAAGGACAGTGCTCCTTCCACCCCTGCAATGGGCTCAGTGGACTCAGCCTCAATGCACTCAGTGCCTGGCTGAGTCACGCAAAGCAACTGAGGCGTGAGGCTGTGCAGACCATCTACAAACCAGGTGTTTCTACTGGTGGAGTGGGGGCTGAGCCTGGCTCTGGGTGCTCTTGAGAGGAGGACAAGCGCCTCAGGGAAGGGCCTGGGGCTGGTCTGAATGGAGCCAAGGAATGCATGGGGTGGGGGGCGTGGTCAGGCTGGACAGAGGCATGGCAGGGCAAGTGTCCAAGTGTCTAAGCCCGAGGGAAGTCCTTCTGAGGAGAATGAGGGCTGTTCTGAGCAGCTGGGCGGTCTGGAAGGGCAGAGCCCCAGACTGGGCGGGGGCATGCCTTGGGTGGTGGTTGGCTGGGTGTGGGGGGGGTCTCCCCTATCTAGGCAGCCCTCCCCTGCCCCAGACAATAGGGCACCGGCCATCAGCTGCCCCGTTCCTCTCCCAGCATCTCCCACAGAAGGAGTGGGAAGGAAAGTAGCTCGGGGAGGTTTACCACCAGCTCACAGAGCGAAGGCCAGGGCTCAGCCTTGCAGGGCCCAGGTTCAAATCCCTCCTCTGAGCCTCAGCTTCCTCATCTATGGATGCCACAGCACTGTGCCTGGAGATGCTCATGACTGTCCAGCTCGCTCCCCTGCCTGATCAAAGCCCTTGAATCCACCAGAGGTTTTCAACGCCTTCTGCCCTCTGAGAAACCCCACAGCTGTTTACAAGCCTTGGTTCTGCTTTAAATCACTCTTTCCCCATGGAGATCAGCCGGGCTCCGGGATGTTTCCGGATGTGTGAGAAACAAACAAAGCTCTGGGCTGCACATGAGCAGCAGGCCAGGCGGCCACCTGTCCTGGGACCCCGGATGGGCAGCCCTCCCCCAGCCCTGGTGCTGCCTCAGTCCCTTGCTTTGCTCAGGGACTGGGGTGTCCCCGAGCCTCAGTTTCCTCATTTGTGAAATGCAGGTCATGCCATTCTCCTCTCAAACAACAAGTTCAAATTGGGTCCCAGGTCAGTGGCCTTTGTTTCCCAGACCAATGCAAGATGCGAAGCCCCACGGGCAAGCAGACACTGGATTAGGGTTTGCCCTGGCCCTGGGGGACAGTGCTGGGAGCGACCCGTGTGTGGCCTTCCAAGAGGCCGGCAGCAGGACCCTGGACGGTGCCGCCAGCTCTGCCACCTGTGAAGCTGAGGCTTTGCTCTCTCCCTCCCTCGGCCTGTCGCGTATTTCCTAAGCCGGGTTCACAGAGCCATCTTTTGAGGCATATTAACAAGTGTTGAAACCAGCCCTATAAACGTTATAAAGTTAATTAGGGAAGAAGGGAGGGGGAGGAACAAAAATAAACCAAGCTTGTGGCACACTCAGCATCATCATGAGGTCAGCGTGCTCCCTGACCCCTTCTCGGAACTGTTTTCCTGCTGCCTCAGAATCGCGCAGGTTCTCTTACAGGGTCATGGTTCCCCTTAACTGCTCCGTAGATACCAATCTGAACGTAAAAAACTACCTTTTCCCTACTCTTTCAGAGCCTGCACACCAGTGAAACTACAAAGTCAGCTGGTCGGAAGGATCCCACGGGAGCTGATTCACCGGAGTGCGGTCTCCACATCCTGCTGATTTCAGCCCCCCGGTCCTGACCGATCAATGACCCCAATTTTCCAGCCCCTCACCCTCCATGATCCCCTTAAACACCCTGGCCCAGAACTCCTTGGGGGGATGGATTTGAGGGTCTCCTCCATCTCCTTGCTGGGTGCCCTGCAATCATTAAACTCTTTCTCTGCAGCAAACCCTGCTGTCTCAGTGTAATTGGCCTGGTACTAACGCAGCGGGCATTTGAAACTGGTGGTCCTATAACCGTGTGGCTACAGAGGGGAGGTTTCCTGGTGAAGTACATTCGGGATGTGGAGTATGGTGGCTCCATCCCTGGAGTGTCTTGATGCTCATCTGCCGGGAAAAGCCTGTGCTGCTCTTCTTGCTCTATGTTAGGGAAAGGTCCAGGGCTGGCCCTGTCCTCCTGACTGCGGCCCAGCACTCCCCAAGATCGGCTCCAGCATCTGCTGAACTGAACCAAACAAATAAACTGGCCGCGTTTAGAAGCAGACAGGAGTAAACGCTCAAATCGGCCAGAGCTGGGGGCCTGTCTTGCTTTCTGGCTGTAATTAATGCTGACGGTTCCTGTGAGGGAACGGAGCCCTCAAAATGCACTAGGACAAGGCCCCTGGAAGAAGGGCTTACCAGGATTATCAGGCCAGGACCTAGTAATTACACCCCAGATGTTGACAATTCATCAAATTACAAGGCTGGTGGGGCCTGAGGTCCCAGCCTGGGAAGTGCACATTCCTGTGTGAAGGTTCCCTGAGCCTCCTCCCAGCTCTCATTAGAGCCGGCTGGTGGATAAGGGGTGGGTGGGCAGCCCCCTTCAGGGCGGGTCAGCACCATACGGTTCTGATTTCTCAGCCTAGGCTCTTTGTACACACATGGGCTGCAGCAAGACTGTCCGGGGCTTAGCAATTTCCCAAACTCAAATTCTTTGTGCTAGGGAAAGGAAGAAAAGACCCTCAAAGTTAGGTTCAGCCCAGCTGTTGCTGGTGCCTTGAGGGTGGCACAATGTTCCTCCTGGAGCACTTCTTCCTGGGACCTAGGGCATTTTGTAGAGTGGGCTCTGTAGTGACCTATGCACCTCAACTCAGCAAACTGTAGGAGCTTCAGCTGGGTGGGGTCCCAAGCGCTTGCACCAAGGTCAGAGACTTGCCCCTCATGTGCTCCTTGGCCTTGCTTGGGCTGCTGCCCTCTGTGCTGCTCATCTGTAGTGTGAGGGGCTGGAATTGGGCAATGTCTTTCTGGGAGCCAGGTTTTATTTGATCCGTGCAGTTAAAAGAACCCAGACTGGGCATAACGGCTCATGCCCGTAATCCCAGCACTTTGGAAGGTCAATGTAGGAGGATTACCCTGGCTCAGGAGTTTAAGACCAGCCTGGGCAACATAGTGAGACCTCATCTCTAAAAAAAAAAAAAAAAAAGGTTGGGTGTGGTGGCACATGCCTGTAGCTCCCGCTACTCAGGAGGCTGAGGCAGGAGGATTGCTTAAACCGTGGAGGTTGAGGCTGCAGTGAGCTATGATGGCACCACTACACTCCGGCCTGGGTGACAGAGCGAGACTTTGTCTCAAACAAACAAAAAAACAAAGAACCCCAAACCAAATGAATTAGTCACATTTAAAAATTGCAACCTTTTACATAAACGTCCAGAGTTTGGGCTTTTCTTGAAAAGCCGGGAGATCTCGCAGACCCTGGTCCACAGGCTCCACCCTTCCCTGTGGTCTCACGCCTAGCCTGCTGCCCATGGCGAGGTGACTCGCCAGCTCTGCAGGGCATCTGATTTGTAACCCTTGGCCTAGAAAGTCTCCCAGGGCCCTTTCAGCTCTATGATGCTGTGAGGCTGTGAAACCGGCTGGCTTCTATTTTGGGGAGAGGACCTGCTCGGTGATGCCTGAGTGTGCTGGAAGTAATTACATGTATGTCCATGTCACACATCATGGCTAGCAGAGGTGGTGTTTACAGCACTGTGCCTTTGAACCGATCCCAAAAATACCTGCTGAAATGACACATTTGCCCATGACTGGTGGGGAGAGACATGATTACCCTGTCAGGTATCAGAAAATACTGTTCCTCATTAAGGTGGCAGAGAGGAAAGAGCTTGACCCCCGTGGGGTGAGGGAGGATGGAGGATGGGACCGGCGGGCCGGGATGTGTCTGACTGAGCTGCCCAGGTCACCAGCTCAGGCACAGAGGGCTGTTCTGGTGGAAGGAAGTCTGGGGGAACACACCATCAGCTCATTTTGGTGCCAGCCGTGGATGGGGTGGAAATCCAGAGTAGGGAGCAGCAGCTGACGGGAAGTGTGACCTTCACAGAAGGGTGACCGCCACAGCGTGGCCAAACTCCACGAGGCAGTCTAGAGGGAGACAGCGTGACCAGGACAGCTCGCAGCACACACTGAAGCTGCAGTCACTCTGCCTCGCCCTGTGGCCCCTGGACCATGCCCAGGCCAAGCTCTGCCCTCCTGCCCCACCCTTGGGGCATGGTTGGTTTCCCAGCCTCCCTGAGAGCTGCCCCCTAGGCTGTGGGGTGGGCCCTCCTTGGTTTCCACAGACAATTGTCACCCACTGGTAAAGAACTGGTTGAAACCCTTAAAAATGCAAAGGATTTTTATAGAATTTGGATTTCCAGCTTCTCTGGAAATGTTGGAAGATGTGGTAGTGATGACTGCATGTGCGGAACTGCACCCCGATGGGGCGGGTGCCCCGATTCACCCCAGGCCCTGCCGTTTTCTCTGCTCTCCTGCGCCCAACCAGCCTCATCTATTTTCTCACTTGCCGGCGGCTGCAAGCGTCAGTGAGCCCGTGAGCCTGCAATTCTAGCTCAGGTCCATCTCTCCAGTCCTCCCACCCTCCTGGGCCAGCCTCCGCCAGGCCCCCTACCTCCTGCCCCACATACCCATCCTTCCTGCACAGTGAAGGAGCAGGGTACATCCTGATGATGAGGTCCTGCCCCGTAGACCTGGGAGTGAGCTGCTGAATTTCCCTGGAGCGCGTTTCCTCCTCTGCAAACTGAGTGTGTTGCGGATGGAATGGCTCCCTGGATCTGGGCTCACAGCAGGCAGCAGGGGAAGGGTGGGTTAATGAGAGCAGCTGTGACGCGCTGGGCCAGCCCTGGGGTAAATGAAGCCAGGGAACAGAGTGGAGCTGAAGCAATGTGGGCCCTTCCCTCCCTATCTAGATGTCACTGGCCCTGACCACAGACCGGCCAGGCAGAAGCCTCATCATCCCCATTTCACAGATGAAGATCTGGAGCTCGGAGAGGCCAGGACACCAGCCCAAAGCTTTGCTCGAGCCCTGTGCCCTGCCTGCTGACTGCCCCTCCTCTGGCTGCTGTAGCACCTGGCACACCCTCACCCACTGCCCTCAGGGCAAAGCTGTACCCCTGGCCTGGCATTCAAGGACAACCTCTTCCTCCTGAGCGCCTCCTTCCAGACTCACGTGTCACCTCTTCTGAGGAGCCTTCTTCAGCTCCCGCCCCCGCCAGTTTCTCACTTATGGACTCACTGCTCTGTCTTCCTGCCACCTCTCCTCCCACAGTGACCAGCCACATGGCTCCAGTGCCCACCACAGATGCCCTTCCTGACCGGAGGATGTGCAGCCTTGGCTCGCACACCCCTGGTGATGTGGAACTCACTGCTCCCCGGGCAGACTGAGGGGTTTGCAAAGATTTTGTTTAAGCCTGGTCCTTCTCAGGCTAGACCCTCCACCTTGCAGCGCCTGGTTCAATTGTGCCCAGAACCTCCACGTGGCTGGGAAGACGAGGCCTCAGGTTCCAGCCCAGGGAGGGCTCTCAGCTTGGGTGGGTGGGGCTGTGGGCCCCTTTGTCCAGCCACCCGGGGTGGAACTCCAGAGTGGACAAGAGATGGCCAATTCCTCAAGGCTGGGTGCTCCAGGGACACAGGCTTCTCACCTCCCCCTACGCCCTTACCATCCCGGCCCATCTTGGGTGCACCCTCTCTGGATGTTCCCCCTGAAACTCCCCACTTATCAGCATCCTCTTCACCTTCTGACTTCGACTCACACCTCCCTTCCTCAAGGCGGTGCCCCTGACCCCCACCAGGCCAGGTCTGGGTAACGGGAGCCCCGCCTCCTAGCCCTGGCCACGAGGCATAGTGAAGCTGGAATTTGTGGGAGTTTTTTGTTCTGTCTGCCACTCAACCACAGGCTCCAAGTGGGGAGGGACCCCTGGATGTGTTTCCTGCTACCGTATCCCAAATGCCGAAGCGCCTCGTACATAACGAGAACACAGTAAATACCCGCTGAATGGATCAACAACGGTGAAGGGAACGATTCTCTGAATGAACGTCCATCCTGCTGGCTCTCGTGCCCGGCCAGGGAACACTAGAGGGCGCGCTTGACCTGCCGAAGGCTGCCTCCAGCCCTGGCGGACTCTTGCGCTGGACTCCCGCCCTCGGGCCACAGCCTGGGCGATCAGCCAGGACGCTGGCCATTGAGGATGCAGGCCCAAAAGGGGCGCCTTCAGCCTCACAGGCTTCCCTGGCTGGCATTGGTAATGGACAGAGCAGTGGGAACGGTCCCTGAACCCAGTCCGTGTGCCCAACTCTGAAGCTCTCCTGCGTCATCTCCTTGGTTCCCCCAATAGCTGAAGGGGCCGAGGCTTGGCGGGGCCAGGGACGTGCCTGAGGCCACATGGACTATAGACCCCTGGGCCCATTCTGTCTCCACTGCATGGGCTGGACATCGTGCCAGCCCTGGGTCCTGGTCGGGGGCAGCTTCATACCAAAATCACTGCTTTCTCTTTAGTCTATTTGCTTCGAAGACCTGGGCTTGGCTCGGTGACTTTGTGCAGGTCTGTGAACATGTTCTTCCATGTGATGGGGCGAGGATGCTGTGGGGCTGGTCTGTTGCCTGGGGAAGTGGGAGGCGGTTCCAGCCAGTGACCACGCTGCAAACATATCACAGGCAAAACAGCAAAGCGCAGGACCAACCCCCTCTGCTGGGCCCCCTACACTGCTGTCCCTGCTAAGTCTCCTCCCAGAGCTAGGTGTGGACAGGAGGTACCTGGGCTGCTGCCAGGAGGATGCAAAAAACTGCAGCAGATACAGGAGGCATCTGGGAGCCGAGGGCGGAGCAGCAGCTCGGGCCCCACTGACCTGGGGTGGCCGCCTCCTGTGAATGGGCTGCCCCACATGGGACACTCACGGGGACACTGGGGACACAGTGCTGGACCAAGACAAGAGGCTGGACTCAAGAGACTTAGGGCCCTGGGGAGAACGGCCAGCATGGTGGCCCTGGTTGCATCTCCCTGAGGTTCCAGTCTGCGTGCCATTATCAGGGACTCCGGAGTCGGCTTTCATCCGGTCTCAGCTTCACTAGAATCTGGGGATTGTGGGGTGGCACTGTAGGGGTCAGACGGAAATGAGATGGAGGATGTTGAAATCTAAAAACAGATGAATTTGGGATATTTCAGATAAATCGTTTAACTGATTACATTTTTATAATCAAAGCTGTTTTTGAACTACAAGAGTGCAAGAGAGCGTGTGAACGTGCGGTGCTCCATGGGCCTTTCTTGTTCACTTGATTAATTCCAAACCGTCCATCCGAGTCCTTCATTTCAAAATTGGTCCCAGGCCGAGGCCCCGTCTCACAGACCACATTTCAGCCCAGAGCTCTCGCAGTCCCCTGGGGCCCCGGCTGTCGCTGCTCCCAGGACTGAGGCCGGAGATGAAGTGCAGTCACCGCTCCCTCGACTCCAGAGGGGCTTGGGCACGGCGCTCCGGGGCCCAGGAGGTGCCGTGCGTGTGGTTTTGGGTGTGCTCAGAGCTGACCTGTGACGCCTGCCAGCCCTCGTTTCTGTTAGTCATTCAGGCTTCACCAGCAAATTAGTGCAACCGCCTCCTACCCGCACCCCTTCCTCCAGTTTCTGCCCTGTAGCCAAGGAGGCCTTTTCTACTTTTTAATAATTAATTGATTGATTTAAAATTTTATTTTTTAAAACAGACGGGGATTCGGCCAGGATTGGCAGCTCATGCCTGTAATCCTAGCACTTTGGGAGGCCGAGGTGGTCAGATTGCCTGAGCTCAGGAGTTTGAGACCAGCCTGTGCAACATGGCAAAACCCTGTGTCTATTAAAAACACAAAAAAATCAGCCAGGCGTGGTGGTGCGTACCTGTAATCCTAGCTACTTGGGAGGCTGAGGCACGAGAATCACTTGAACCCAGGAGGCGAAGGTTACAGTGAGCCGAGATCATGCCACTGCACTCCAGCCTGGGCGACAGAGCAAGACACTGTCTCCAAAAAAAAAAAAAAAAGATGGGGTTTTGCCATATTGCCCAGGCTGAGCATGCCCTGCTCCGTTCAGCTGCTCCTCTGCAGGGACACCCTGCACAGTGATACAGAACTGGACATTTCATTACCAGGGGAAGATTTAGAAATTCTTCCTAATTTCTAATAACGGCTATGACACGGAGGTATGAATGAGGAATAGGAGAGGAGGTGAAATGAAGAAATGGACTTTTAAGTTTAAGTTAGACTTAGTTTTTGTTTTTCTTTTTTCGTAAAGCAGGAAAGCATCCTAACACTTTGATACCAGGGGTGGAATACAATAGTTGGGAAGGGAGCAGCAGGGCTGGATACAGACAGGTATGAGCAGGAGAAACCAAACATCCTCTCCAAGTATGTGTTTCTGGGGGTGGTCTGAGAAGCACTCTCCTGCCAATAAGCAGCCCATCCTGGCCCCGGCCCTGCTACTGTAGACAGCTTGAGAGGCTGGCTGGTTGGTGTGAGGGAGTAGGGTCACATAGCCTGGGTGCTAATCCAGGCTTTGGCATGCAAGCAGGCCGTGTGTCTCAGCTAAGTCCTGTCACCCTCTGAGCTCAGATTTCTCATCTGTCAGGTAGGGTTGAAACCACTAGCCTCCCATGGTGAGACGGCATGCATGAGTGCGCACCCAGCAAGCACTCAATACTTGCACCTGCTTCCCTGGCACATTGGAAGGGCTTTGGGAGATGAAGGGTGACAGTCTTTTCTTCTCTGTTCCCAAAGGAAGCACCATGAGTGGGGGATCTCCAACCCCTTGGCAGTCTATCTCTGGGGACAAGTGATTTTTCTTTTTTCTTTTTTTTTTGAGACATGGTCTCGCTCTGCTCTGTCACCCAGGTTGGAGTGCAGTGGCGTAATCTTGGCTCACTGCAACCTCTGCCTCCTGGGTTCAAGTGATTCTCCTGCCTCAGCCTCCCAAGTAGCTGGGACTACAGGCATGTACCACCACACCTGGCTAGTTTTTGTATTTTTATTTTTATTTTTTTTGGTAGAGACAGGGTTTCACCGTATTGGCCAGGCTGATCTTGAACTCCTGACCTCAAGTGATCCATCCGCCTTGGCCTCCAAAAGTGCTGGGATTACAGGCGTGAGCCACCGCGCCCGGCCGGGACAAGTGATTTCTATAAACACAGAGTCAAGTTCCATCCCCCAGCCCTCGCCTCTGTCTTGGTTCTACTTGGTGCAGCTCTGGGAGCTTCTTTGGCTTCACTTCCTATCGTTTCCTGTCACCTGCTCACTCACTCCTGCCACACTGACCTTGAGTGTACCTGAACACACAAAGCTTGCTCCAACTTCATGACCTGTGCACTTGCTTTTTCCTCTGCCGGGATCTCCCCCAAGATCTCTGCAGCTTTTTCATCATTTAAATCTCACTTCAATGTTACTTTCCTCAAGAACCTTCTGATTATTTAATCCAAATTATACCTGTCCATTCACCCAGCCAACACTCTCATCACATCCTTGTTTTATTCTCTTGTAAGTACATTAAATGATATCGAAGAAATGTTTAAATAGCTTTCTGAATGTGTAAAACAAACCAGAAAGTCACTAAAGCTTAATGTTAAGAGTTAAGACAATCAAACTACCAAAGAAGAGGAAAAGCAAACATTGTGACATTGTAAATAGGAGATGATGAGAAAGTCTAATGTTTTCTGTGTAAGTCAAAGTTCAGGCAAGATTAAGCCCTGCATGAGTGACAGGTGGTTTCATCTTAGTCAGATGCCACAGTTTAGAGAGGAAAAAGCGCTCATGATAAACAAGATACCTCCGGGAAGATGACATTGAGCTTCTAATTATTCATTCCTCTCTATCCCAGGGCAAACTCCCATTCCCATATGGTTCTCTAAAGACTGTGACTGGGCCTGATCCATCTTTGTGCCACCCCAGTGCCCAGGCCAGGGTATGACACCCACCAGATTTGTTGAACACAGCCAAGCCTCCTATTTCTGAGATGGGCAAATCACTTTATCCACATAAATACTGATTACTACCCCAAAATGCAAGAGTGCCGTGCCTAGGGCTCCTCTGAAGGCTCAACTTTTGATCCACAATGTTCTGAGTTAGGAATTATCCCTATGCTGTTGATTCTATGATGTCTTCCGTCCCTGGACCAGTTGGGATCCAAAAGCTCTTAAACACGGGTGATTTCCTCTTTAAACTCTATGCCTGCAATTCCAACCTTTACCACGAGGTGACAGGATTACACAAACCTTATCAAAACTAGTTTAATCTCTGACTAGTTCTAATTAAAATATGCCCTAAATTAAAACAATATTCATACATATATGTATATATTTTAAAACTTATATTGGCATAGCTTTAAAAGTGTAATACCCACAGTTGGCCAGCATTTGGGGAAATAGACAGCATTTATTCATTGTTGGTGGGAATGTAAATTAGTACAGTCTCCTGGAGGGCAATTTGGCAATACACATCAAAAGCCTTACACATGTGCAAACCCTTTGGTGCAGCAATTCCACTTTTAGTCATTTATTCTAAGGAGATAATCATGGAAATAAGCTATATTTATTCCCAGGATGTTGACTGTAAGGGTGAAAAATTGTCAATATAAATAATTTAACTTTGAGACTAAATAAATGATATATCGGATCAAATACAATGTAGCCATTACATTCTCTAAGGATTTTTAATGATGCAGAAAAGTCTCATGCTATATTTAGTGAAAAAAATAGTACAAAAAAGTATGTCCAATGTAATTGTATTTTAGATTATGAGACTGACGTGCTGCCCACTGCACTAAGAAGGCACTTGTAATTCTATTTTTAAAGCAATAAATATAAAAGCAAACTTGGATATAAGAAATACTAGAACCACCACCAAGATAAGAGGACTTATCTGTGAGTGGCAGAATTAGAGATGCTTTTTCCTTGTGTTTTTCTCCATTGTCCAAATGTTTTACAATAAACATGCTTTTTGTTGTAATCAGAAGAGGCTGTTAATGCATCCTCGGGAGCAGAGAGGACAGGCCAGCCTCTGTACACGGAGGGCATGGACAGGGCGAGCCGGGCCCTTGTCGGCTCTGACTTCCTCAAGTCCACAACCTGCCCCACAGATGTGGGTGGCCCCTATGCCCCGTGTCCTCCAGCCACTCCTATCAGGTCCACACATGGACCTGGTTTCAGCTGAGGCAGCTGGCCTGAGTTAATCCAGAAAAGCACCGACAGTCTCCACCACCAGAGTCTCCTGCCAGACTCTATCCTTGCTCTTAGAAAGTGATAAGATATTGGCACAAAGAGAAAAAAGTAAGTCCTCCCTGAGGCTGGTCCTGAAGTTTACTAAGCTACAAAAAAACACAAAAAACAAACAAACAAAACAAAAAACCAAAAAATGCTTTTTCTAAAACCGACCATTCTCAAAGGTGTTTTTCTTTCCAAATATTGCAAATTTATACTGAGTAGGTTAGAATGATTTCTGAAACCCATCTTTTCTTCTATTGAGACTGTCAACGATGAGGAAAGACAGTGATATTTATAGAAGGGCTGCCACACACAGGACTGGAAATGGCCTCTGTGTCTCACACTCAGTTAACCCCGCTCTGCAGGTGTGATCTCCCCAGGCCCAAGTAGCCTGCCCAAGTCCACACAGGTGACTGACTCAAAGCCACGGTGATCCTCTGCACATGAGGGGCCTCCGAGGTGGCCCAGGCCCTTCAGCACGAGGCAGTCACCCCAGCCTCTGGGATGACCACATGGAGCCATCTGCAAATATACCCCAGGCTGAGAGCCGGGCAGAGCCCTCCTGTCCTCCACAGGCCAAGAGATAGGAATTTCCACTCAGGACTGGGCCCCAGGAGCCTGCGAAAGGTCCTCCCCTTCCTCGAATGGGGAAGCTGAGCGGGGTGTCTGCCCCACCCTGTGGGTCTCACGGAAGGAGTGGCCCAGGTGGTGGTGTGAGAACGAGGGGTCTGGAGGCACACAGCTGGTCTTGCTCCTGGTGCTGGCGACGTGAACGCCCTGAATCCAGCCCACCCAGGGAAGACGCCTACCTCCGTGTGGAAATGGGGGTCTGTGTGTAAGCTGGGGCTGGGCGACCTCAGGAAGAAGGCCATCATGGGCTGTGATACCAGCTTCCTGGAGACGTTGACAGGGTGCCCTCATCCCTCACCAGGCCCAGCCTGCTCAGGCCTCCCAGTGACTGGGGAGCTGCTGGTAGGACCAGGGGCACGGCTGCCAGAGCTGCCTACACAGAGGAAGTGGGGGGGCTTGCTGGACCCCAGCTCTCTTCCTTCCAAGAAAGCTCCCAGTGTCAAGCCTGAGGGACGCCCGCGGGGCTCCACACACATCCTTCTCTCCGTTCCCAGCCCCGACAGTCACAGCGCCCCTTCTCCAGGCCAGGCCCAGGTGTGAGGGAGCCCGATACCACCCCCACACTCAGCTTCGTCTTTAATTCCCGACAGTCCTGTCATGGCCCCAGGGACAGCAGCCCCGGGTTTGGCCTGGCTCGCGTTCTGGGTGCTCTAAGCCAAGGGGCTTTCCTTTCCCCAGGCTTCACAGCGAGTGAGCTGCAGAGATGAGAGCCACGCCCAGCTACTCCATCCGCACCCAGCCTCCTGCCTGTCGGCCACAGGGCCAGCTGCCGGCACCCAACTGGGTCCTGGGAGGAAGGAGTGAGGGAGAAGAGGCCTCTGTGGGACGCAGACCCTGGCACCTGCTCTGGTGTGGCTGAGAACAAGCCCCCTGCCCCTCCCCCGGGGCAGCAGGCAGCATCCTCTCCGATGCTCGAGGCTGGTGGGGAACGGACCGGACCGCTGGGTCACTTTGCTCAGAGGAAACAATGGAGAAGAGGGGGAGGAAACCACTCATCTACACCCCACCCTCTCCCCTCTGGACCTGTGAATACAGAGTAACCCGGGGTGAAGGGAACTGCGTCATGCCAGGAGTGGTTCTGTTAGTCTCCGGTCCTCCCGAGCCGGTACTGGTACAGCGAATAATGCCAAGATGCGGGGCTGAACTTTCCAGCGAAAGCCTGTGCTTCCCCAAGATGCTGGACGCCCAAAGGTCCGGGCTGCCGTGTGCAGGAGACGGGAGCCTGACCCTTGCCTAATCAGAAGAGCAGCTGGGGACTGCGGCAGGGCCCTAACCCCAGGTGTGCCATGGGATGAGGGTGGGTCCCAGCTGGTTTTCACATTTCATTCTTACTTCCGCAGAGTCTGAGAGGCCAGGCTGCTCATTGCTGGGGGAGCTGCCCGGACTGCCTGGGAGATCCCAAACTTGACTCAGCCCAGCACGGGGCCACTCCAGCATGAAGTCAATGTTCCCCAGAGTTACCACCAAGTCCTGGAGGGCTGGGTTTGTGACACATCATGTGCCTTCATCTCTGCATTCACAGAGCAGGAAATTGAAGCTCAGCGAAGGTGAGCACCTTCTCTTAAGGTCACTCAGCCGAGAGGAAGCAGAGTGGACCCCACGTCAAGTCTCCCTGGTGCTGGGGCTGGCCTCCTCTCCTCCGCTGCAGGACCGGGGACCACCGCTCTCTATCACCAGCCGTCCTGACTGCACAGATCTGTCCCGAATCAGCCAGCATTTCCCTCCCTGCATCTTCCTGCCCTGGAGGCACAAAATGAATCTGCCCCTCCCCTGACGGCCCTGCCAATCTCTTCTGCTGCTGGGCTCCCCCTACTCTTTCTGACATCCCAGGACCTCCGGATGCTGCTGCCACGACCCTCAACCCCCGCACAGGACCTGACAGCGGCACAGCCACGCTGCGTCTTGCTGCTGACGTGGTGCTCACTTGGCCGGGGCTAGGACATCTATCCCAGGAATGCGCTAGCTTTTGGGTTAATTTTAAGAGATCTGCCAAGGGATGACACCACAGCCAAACTGGAACCAGCCAGTCTCCTGTTATCGAGTGATGACGAGGAGCGGTGGCTGGGACAGGGAGTCCTCTGCCCACTGGGAAGAGGCCCAGCCCTCCAGTGGAGCACGCCACAGTGCGGGGGCTGGACTGTTGGCTCTTGGCTGGACTTACTGAAGAAGCAGTGGCAGGTGGATTCAGTGCCACCCAGACACCTGCTCGAGGTGCTCTGCCTTGCCTCCAGGGCAGCCCTGGAGATCTGTGCAGCCTTTACCTCCCCAGAGCTCACGCTAATCGCCTCCACAGAAAGACCACGGCTGCTGAGGAGCAGAAGAGACAGGAGCGCAGACAGAGTTAAATCAAGGCTCAGGGAAAGAATATTGGTTTAAGAGAAAAGGGTGAAGAGAGCAAAAAAATAAATGACAAATTACCGGGTAGCCATCTCGTCCTGATTGCCCCTGTGGTAATTAATATGTCATTAATAATCAGAGTTTCGGCAGAAACCATATGGCAACACTTAGAGCTCAATCAGGGCCCAGACCCACACCCGCCCCCCGACAGCTGGTTGGTGACTTCCTCTGCAGCGGGAGGACTCAAGGGCTCCAGGGGTCTTGGGGGCAGAGCAGCCCTTTCCTGCCTCAGAGGGCCAGGCTGGAGGGACCAAGAGCCTCAGGGCTTCATCGGGGCTCCGGGCACAGTCACATGTGTGCCCTCCCCACGCTGGCCAGGCATAGGGTAAATGCCACGTGGGGACGTGGGGTTCTGGAGGGTGCAGCCACAACCACACGACCAACCAGGAACTGAAAATGCTCCTTAAACTAGGCCTGGAAGAGAGCCTGTTTCCTCTCAGTTGCCACTGGGATGGGGTGAACCAAGAAAGAGAGCCTTAGAAGCCAGGAATATCGGGGGGCGTTCACTGTGGCTGCATGCTTCTCTGCCCCCTAGTTCCAGACCCTGGAGCAGTGACCACCCTGCCTGTGTTCCACACTTGGGCACCCATCTCCCAGGTCAGACCCTTCCAGGTTGCAGCTTGAGAATTTCTGCATTTGTTTAATTCATTTACTATTTTAACTGCCAAGTTAAAAAAGAAACAAAAAAAACACTCTATAGCCCCCGGCGTTAGGTACTTCAGCAAGTTCACACACGCTAGCCTCCCTGAGACAGCCAGGAAGAACTCAGCTGCCAAACATCGCTTGAAGCCAATAAATCAACACAATCCTGCTGTCTTGCTTGGCTCACGGTGGGGCTGCATGCACCGAGAAGCCCAGATTCCGAAGGGCACTGATCGGGAAACCAATCATGGTACACGGAAGTAAAAAATAAAAGGGCTCATCTGAAAGGAATTCCTTGAGAAGGCTGATTTTGGCTCTGACTGTCAATGTGCTTCTTGAGTGGATTAACTGGGATTTACCGGGCTCTGAAAAACTGACAGCATGAATCAAAGGCAGGCACATCCTTTGCCCTGGAGAATGAATGGGATTTCTAGGACCACTTGCAATCCCCTGCATTCAAACCTGCCTCTGGCCGGCCAGGAGAAGTTCAAGGGAGCTGCCCAGTGCTTCCCTCATACCCTTCACACCCCTCACAAATGCAGTGACATTTTCCTCCTGCTCCAGTGCCATGCCCTCACCAGCCAGGTGTGCTCACAAGGTCTCAGCTGTCTGATCCACATTCTGGCAAAGAAGAAAAATGAACCCCAGGGTCTAGTGGTCAAGCCCGACTAATTCCTGGGACAACTGCCCGACTCTACAGCTCTTTCTGCCAAAGCACGGGACACTGAAGCATTTAGAAACGTCAACTGTCACGGAGCATTTTAAAGCTACGGACATGGTGCTAGCATTTCCGTGTACCAAGGTGAGCCCAAGATTTGGTGAGGAACAACCAGGCTTGTGCGCTGGCTCTCTTGCTAGGAAAATGGTCACAGAACGTTCCGGCGAACAGGTCAAGCCTGTGGAATTCTGTGCCTGCATTCATCTACAAATTAAAATATAACATGACTCCTGTATGACTGATTTTTTCCCCCCAAACACATGAGTTTTTGTTTTTGTGTTTGAGACGGGGTCTCATTCTGTCTGCTGCCCAGGCTGGAGTGCAGTGGTGCGATCTCGACTCACTGCAACCTCTGCCTCCTGGGTTCAAGCAATTTTTCGTGCCTCGATTTCCTGAGTAGCTGGGGTTACAGGCACCCGCCACCACGCCTGGCTATTTTTTGTATTTTTAGTAGAGACGAGGTCTCACTATGTTGGCCAGGCTGGTCTCAAACTTCTGATCTCAAGTGATCTGTCCACCTTGGCCTCCCAAAGTGCTGGGATTCCAGGCGTGAGCCACCGCACCTGGCCACTTTTTAATAGGACTGATGTTTTCTGAGGACACACCTCCCTAACCAAAATTATGTTCATGGAATTGCAACAGAGAGAGAACCAAACATCTTATCTTTCAGAAGCAGACAGCACAGTCCAGGACACTTACTGGAGGACCTGCAAAACACAAGCAGAGAAGCCACAGTCAGTGTGGAAGGCAGAGTCCCCTCGCCTGTCCTCAGCACGGTCCCCTCACCTGTCCTCAGCACGGCTCCTGGCCACCTCTCCCCGGAAGGCTTTGATGCTGCCATGGCTGTTTCCTGCCACGGCCTGAAGCTGGGGGCAGAGCAGAAGGAGCACCTTTGCCCTTGGAGGGGCCGGGATGGTCACGGGGGTGGTGGTGACAGTTCCCACATGCATGGGTGCATGCATTCATGTCACCAGGCAGCTTTGGGTTCTGGCACTGAGTAGGAATTGGAACATGTTCCTACTTAAAGGACAAGCTCTGGTGCTCCTGAGGGGATGGTTTATTTCTATTGAGGGCAGACTGGGGGAGCAAACATTTTGGACAGAGAGAATACTGGGAGGAATGGCAAATGGGTGTGGCTGAACAGGCTTTTTGGGGGAGGGGGCTCCTGCTGCCCAGCTCCAGGGTTAGAAATGCATGAGGAGTAGCAGGGCCTGGGGCTGCAGCTGAGGCTTGTCTACCAGATGAGGGCTCACAGAGAACCCTTATGAGGCCCACAGGGGCTTCACCTCACAGCTTGTGAAGCATGTTGCATACTCGTTATTGCATTTGACCTTCCCAACCATCTTTTGTGAGAGGTCTGATGAACATCTCCACTGGACAGCTGATAACGCAGAGGCTCACAGAGCAGCGACTTGTGTGGGGCCACATCGTTGATTATGGTGGAGTGAGCGCATGCTGGATGGAAGGAGGTCTCCCAACTCTACCACCCCTAGGCTCTGTGCACTAAGCCACGCGGCTGCCAAACCAGACCCCGAACCTCACTCGAGAATGAGGCCACACGGGGAGGCAGCACCCGGCAGTCAGCGGCCAGCACGATTTATACGTCCCAAGTATGAGCCAGGAGCCATGGGGGTAACTAACGGGACCAGTAGTGAGTGCAAGAGGCAAGAGCCCTGGCTCATGAATGTTGACTGAGCAGACAGATCCTTAAGAGGACATTACACAAGGAGAAGGCCAGGAAGCTCCATGCATAGCACAAGGGCCCTGACCCAGGCTGGGCCGAGTCCAGAGGGTGAGAAAAGAGGAGGGAGGAGTGTTGCAGAGATGGACAAGCTCAGAACATGCCAAGATCACGGGCTTTTGAGGATCCAGGAGAAGTGAAGGCTGCTGCAGCAGCGGGAGGGCCGGAGAAGGCAGGGCCAGCCAAGCCCGGGGGTTTGTTTCCATGTAATGGTCTGGGGGGCTTGGTTCTAAGGGTGAAGGGGAGTCAGCGAAGGGCTCTGCAAGGAGGAGCGATGGGGAGGGGCAAGAGTGCACCTGGAGATGCGCTGAGGTGTCCCCATGCAGGTGCTGGTGGGTGAGGGGGGAGTGGAGAGAGTCAGAAGATGTTGGTCAGGGGAGAGATGGGGCTCGCACAGTAGCGATGCATAGAGGAAGGAGAGAGATGACAAGGATTTTTGGCTTGAAACACTGATGTACTCACACCCCAGAATGATGACATGGGGGACAGTGCTTTCCCCAAGTCTAGATCAGGGCGGAACAGAGCAAGATGCTGGCAGCTTGGACATCCCATTGAGCTGACTCCTCACTGTCAGCCAATGACCTTGATTCCTATTTTCCAAAGCAAACAAAAGCTGCCGGATAGGTTCGCCATCGCCTTTCCAACACCAGTTGTATACATCTGTGCCTGTACCTGTGCCTGGACCTGCACCTCAGCCTGTGCCTGCATCTGTACCTCCCCCGTGCCTGCGCCTGCATCTGCAACTATGCCTATACCTGTACCTGCCTTTCCACCTGCCCCTCCTCCTCGATCTGTTCCTGCACCAGCACTTGCGCCTGTGCCCGCACCTGCCCCTGCACCTGCCCTCCTCTCCATGCCTTCAGGTTAACTCGGAAGAACTGACCCACCTTCAATTAGGCCACTGTCCCCTCTGTATTGCCCAGAGCCTGGCCCCATCTACGGTCCCTCTGGATCTTAGTCACACTTGCCCTCTCATGCAAGTCCTGCCCAACAGCTCTGAAACATGCTCTAATTCCTCGGCTGGCAAAGCCATCCCTTGATCACACACCCCGTTCTATTCCTGCCCTTCCTCTGCTCTCTCCCTCACAGCAAGAAACAGTGGGAGGTGGCTTTAGAGGGGCAATGTGGGGCAATTGGGTAGGGCCTTGAGCAGAGAGAGGGTGAGACCTGGCTCATATTTTAAAGATCCCCGTGTGGGGTAGCAGGGGTAGAACCTGGAGGCTACTGCATGCTGCAGGGGAGAGAGGACAGTGGCTCACAGCTGGTGGTGGCAGTGGAAGTGGTGGACGTGGTTGGGTTCTGGATTGATTCTGACAGCACAGCCAAGAGGATCTCCCTAGTTTTGGCTTCAGCAACTGAAAGGATGGGGCTGCCGTCAACAGAGGTGGGGAGATAGTAGTGGGGCAGGCTTGGCTGAAGGGGTCAGAAGCTTGGCACACGTGGCACTGCTGCAAGTTAAAGAGAAGATCAAGAAGTCCTGGAAGCAAAGTAGAGAAAGTGTCTCAGGAGGGAGTGATCGCCTGTGCACAGGACGAAGTAACTGCCCTGCTGATGGGTCAAGTAAGAAGACCAGGAACTGGATGTAGCAATGCAGAGGCATGTCCAGGGAGTGACAGGAGGGGGGTCTGATGGGAGAGGGTTTCAGAGAGAAGGGGGTTGAGGGATGTGGACAGTGGGTGCTTTGGAGGAGCTCTGCTGCAAAGGGGAGGAAATGAACAGTTGCTTTGTGGGAGTGGGGCCTGGAGATGGATATGGGTATTTCTTTAGGATGAGAGACATGGCCACATGTTTGTAGGATGAGAGTGGTCCAGCAGAGAGAGAGGATTCGGTGTGGGGGAGGAGGGGAGAGTCCTAGAGCCACATTCTTGAGGAGGTGAGAAGGGCTGGCTCTTGGCGCTGGCACAGATGGGGGCCTGGACAGTCCATCTGTGGAGATGGCAGGAGGAAGAGTGCCTGGTGCTGCTAGGCATGTGCCATGGAGGTGGGAGTTCGGGCAAGTTCTCTTCTGATTGTGCCAACTCTCTCAGTGAAGCAGGAAGCGAGGCCGTCAGCCTCAGGTGATGATGCTGCAGGAGGTGTTCGGGGACTGAGCGGGAGAGGCTGAGTGGGTTGGACAATGTGGCCTCAGCCAGGCAGCAGAAAGGGCCACGGGGGCTGGGGGTGTTTCTCTCCAGCTGGGTAATCTGCACGCACTGGAGTGGAGCATGTGGAGGGGACTGGGTTCAGTCTGGGGTGGGGCTTTTGCTGAGTAAGAATGAGGGAGGAGGGAGGGGCAGGGAGGTCTGGC
Organism: Homo sapiens; assembly: GCF_000001405.40. Taxonomy (NCBI): domain Eukaryota; kingdom Metazoa; phylum Chordata; class Mammalia; order Primates; family Hominidae; genus Homo; species Homo sapiens. The sequence goes on from NC_000005.10 coordinate 178,293,691, forward strand.
ATGGGGAAGCTGGCAGGATTCCAGCTGGAGGGGTGAGGGGCAAGGGGCTGGGATCCATGGATCTGAAGGCTGGAGATGGAAGGGTTGTGGGGGTCAGGAAGAGGGAATGGGCTGGAATTTGTGAACTGAGAATTTGTGGATGCTGCATTTATATCGGGCAAGACCTCTGGAGGGACAGGCTGTTGTCAGAGGAGGCCAAGTCTATCAGAGGAGAGGAGGCCACGGAGTCCAGAGGCCAGGCTGTGTAAGGGGCTTCTACGTGGCTATCAAGATTCACAGGAATTCACCCAGAAGTACTGTGGGAGAGAGGGCTGGTGACCCAGGGGCTGGAACCGACTAGCAATGAGGTGGGTGCACGTGGGATCAGAGATGGCTTCTAGAATGACACCCCATCACCACCCCAGTCTCCCATTCTGGGGCCAGGGTCATAGTTCTCAAAATGCAGATCTGATCCTGACACTTCCCTCCTCACTGTCTTGTTCCTAAGACAATGGCCCGAACCCAGTGGTGCCTTCCACGTGGTGATCTGCCTCCCCAAATCACTACCGAGCTCCCTCCCCAAATCACTACCGAGCTCCCTCCCCAAATCACTACCGAGCTCCCTCCCAAATCACTACCCAGCTCCCTCCCCAAATCACTACCGAGCTCCCTCCCCAAATCACTACCGAGCTCCCTCCCCAAATCACTACCGAACTCCCTCCCCAAATCACTACCGAGCTCCCTCCCAAATCACTACCCAGCTCCCTCCCCAAATCACTACCGAGCTCCCTCCCCAAATCACTACCGAGCTCCCTCCCCAAATCACTACCGAGCTCCCTCCCCAAATCACTACCGAGCTCCTTCCCCAGTGCCCCACACCTGAGCCTCTGGAAACAGTAAGGAGAGATGTGTTATAACCACTAGTTATCACAAAAAAATGAAATTGGATCCCTGCCTCAGCATCAACCAGGATGAATTCCAAAAGGATCAATGATTTTACATGTTAAGAAAACCATAAAAATCCTAGAAGAAAATGTGGGAACATTCCTTTCTAGCCTGGGAGAGGGCAGGCTTTTCCACCTATGGTTCATAATCCAGAAGCCATAAAAGAGAGGTCTGATCCAACCACATAAACCCAAAAAATGTCTGCAAGGCAAAAAGTCTCGGAAGCAAAGTCAAAGGCCAACCTAGGCCGTGTGCGGTGGCTCACGCCTATAATCCCAGCACTTTGGGAGGCCGAGGCAGGCGGATCACTTGAGGTCAGGAGTTTGAGATCAGCCTGGCCAACATGGTGAAACCCTGTCTTTATTAAAAATACAACAAAACAAAACAAAACAAAACAAAAAACAAAAAACTAAAAAACCAATTAGCCGGGTGTGCTGGCGTGTGCTTGTGATCCCAGTTACTTGGGAGGCTGAGGCAGGACAATTGCTTGAACCTGGGAGGCAGAGGTTGCAGTGGGCCGAGATCACACCACTGCACCCCGGCCTCGGTGACAGAGTGAGACTCTGGCTCAAAAACAAAGCCAACCTACGAAACATCTATCTAACTCATGTCACAAAGGCTAGATATCTTGACATACAAACATTCCTACAAGACATCTCTCAAAACATCAGCAACCTAGTAGAAACAAGATATCCAAAGATATGAATGAAGAGATCACAGAACAGAAAATACAAATAGCCCTGAAATATCTGGATTATGAACGAGGATTAACTTTTGTAGCTATAAGTGCTAATCTTCATTCATAATAAAAGAAATGAAGGTTAAAATTACAATCATATCAGATCAAAAAAATGAAAAAAATCTCATGACCTACTGTGTGAAGGGCAATGAGGACAGTCACCTCACACACTGGTGAGAGGATAAATTGGAACCTTCTCTCTAGAGAGTGATCTGGCAATACTAAGATTTAAAATGTATGTGCCAATTGCCACAGCAATTATCCTCCTAGAAATGTATTCTGCAGCTATGTTAACACATATGTAAAAGGATGTGGTGTAAAAACAGTCCTCATCACAGAAGTGTTGAGATAGTAAAAGTATTAGAAATGGCACAGATGGAACTGATTAAATAGAGGATGGTGCAGCTGCAGATGGAATACTATGCAGCCATGAAAAAGGTAATGTTCTGTAAGTTCTGATATGGAACTATCTCCAGGGTGTATTGCTGCATTTTAAAAGGGTATAGAATGGCATGTAGTAAAAATGATCTGTAGACTTTTGTTTGTATAAACAGGACATCTCTAGGTGTGGGTGCAAGGAAGTGGTCATCAGGGTTGCTTCTGAGTAGGGGGGCCAAATGGCCAGAGGGCAGGAGCAGCAGGGAGACTGACCTCTCACCCTGGGCTCTTTCACACCATTGGATATTTGTGTATAGCTCACTGAGTCAAAAGCGTCAACACACTTGAACTTGACAGTGGCTGGAGAAAGCTCTGTGTCTTTGCTCCTCCCAGCTTTTGCTGCCTTTCCTCACACTCATGTCCAAGCTGCCTCCAGGGAAGCTCAGGCTGGGATTATTATTCTGAGAGCCTGAGGTCCTGAGAGCAGAGCCCTGGGGACTGGCGTGAAGTGCAGCCCAGATGAGACGAAGGAGGGGCTGTAAGAGTCAACATCGCTCCCTCACTGAGCACTCCTCGTGCACCGGCAGCTCCACTGAATGCGTTCCCCAGAGCATTTCATGTAACCCCTGCTGCAACCTCACTAGGTGCATTTTACAGATGAGGAAACTGAGGCCCAGAAAGGCTACCATGCCCAGGGTCATGTCCTCTTCTGACCTGGGGCAGAGAGAGGTGAGATACGCACTTCACGACCCCCGCGGATCCCACGCAGGGGCTGCTGGGAAGGCACTTTCGTCCGTGGGAGGACCCAGGCCCCCTTTCTTGGCCACGCCGTTTTTTTTTCCTACCACAGAAAGAGCGGTAATGTGTACTGAGCTTCCCCAGAGGTCCCCGGGAGGGTGTGTGGTGTGTCTGAATCACCCGGCTGGTGAGGCGGTAGTCCAGCCAGAGGCAGTCCCGTAGGACCCTAAACCCATGGCACCATCCATGGTCTCCAGAGGGGTGGCAGAGTGGGAATGGCAGCGTTCCGGAGACTGATCTCGTTGCTCGTGGGACAGTCCACCTCAAGCTCATCTACAAGACTTTAAAACACACTGCCCACCACTTCTCTTGGGCCCTACTGGCACCATGTCACCAGGCTACCATTGCTTCATGCCAGCACCAGCGTCACAGCCTCCTAATCCGACTCCTCCTCCTGGGCACCCAACTCCACCAGCCAGAGGGGCGTTTACAAAATGCCCAACCCCTTTCCAGGGCTTCCCACGGCACACGGAATGAAATCCCAACTCCTGGCCCAGCCTTCCTGCATGGCCCAGTCCTTGCCAGTCTCCAATGCCCTTGGGCACGGTGCTCTGCTCCATCCTTCCCTCTCAGTTCCCCAAGCTGCCAGCTCCCTTCAGCCTTAGACATTCACATTGGCTGTGTTCCTGCAGCCGGCATGGCATGGCTCCACTGCCACTGCCTTGGACAAACCTTCCACGACTGTGACATCCAAAGATGTCAAAGACAAGGCTGGGCATGGTGGCTCAGGCCTGTAATCCCAGCACTTTGGGAGGCCGAGGCGGGTGGATCACCTGAGGTCAGGAGTTAGAGACCAGCTTGGCCAACATGGCAAAAACCCATCTATACTAAAACAATTATTAGCTGGGTGTGGTGGTGGGCATCTGTAATCCCAGCTACTCAGGAGGCTGAGGCAGAAGAATCGCTTGAACCTGGGAGGCAGATGTTGCAGTGAGCCAATATCAGGCCACTGCACTCCAGCCTGGGCAACAGAGTAAGACTCCGTCTCAAAAAAACAAACAAAAAACAGAGATGTCAAAGACAAAGATGTCTCCTCACCCTTCCCCCATTGGTTTCTATCATCTTTCCCTGGTTATTTCCTTCCATGCACTGTTGCAATCGGTAGTGGTTATTTACTTGTGGGTCGGGGACTGTTTCTGTCAGCCCCCGGAAAGGCACTTCCCTAAGAGGGACCATATCCCTGGGACCACATCTGCCCAGTTCATTGTCTCCTTGCTGCCCAGATTGGAGCTGGGTAGGCACAAGCACTTAAGTCAGCATGTGCTGAATGGATGAGGGCTGAAGAGGGCAAGAGCACCTGGAGGCCGTCACATCTTCGGAGCCCTCTGCACTTGACTTCTTGTACTAGGTTTGTGCTGTGGCTGCCACAGCCTCTGGAGATGGACTGTACGGCCTGCAGCAAGCTGGGCATCCAACAGTGATGGATGTGACAGAGGGGTTGGTCCACGCCAGCCAGGGGTTCCTGCTTAGAAAGCGAGCTGGCTGCAGGGCTTCCAGGTGACCATATGGTGGTGTCCCGAGGTCCAGCCCTTCTGCGCACGGCCTTCAAACATGTGTTCCAAGCATAGGATGGTTCCACTGACTTTGCTGTCAGGAATGTGGGAGCAATTCAGTAAAAGCCAGATGACCTGGGAAATACGTGAAAGCATCTGATGAAGTAGAGGGTTTGATGATTCTGGGGCCTCTTAGGCTGAATGGATGTGGCCCAAGAGAGTTCCTCAAACTGGGAACCTTGCCCATTCACACCTCGGGGTTAGGAGCAGGTGGGCAAGCTGCTTGTTGTGTTACCAGGTAAGCAGAGGTGCGTGGTGATCTTGAGAGTCCCCGATGCCCACCTTAAGCTCTTAGCCTCTCTGGGAACAATCATGTCTCCAGTGTTTCCCAAAGGGTGTGTCCAGCCTTCCTGAAATGCAAATGGGGAGGAGTCTTTCCCATAGCCTGGCAGGGGCCAGGCCTACACACCAGGAGGTGAGGGCTGGCTTCAGTGGCCTGAGGCTGCCAGGGTCACTGTCCCTGCTCACAGCCCCACACCTGCTCCTCTCTGTTGCCCCTGGACTCCCAACTTCCCCTCTGCCTGTGACTTGCTCTCCCTGGTCCTGATTGAGCCTCTCTTCCTCTCCCATTCAGCCAGCTCAGGTAAGATGCTGCACCCTGGCTCCCAGCTCTCAGAAGCATGAACCCATCCCCAGAATAAAGACAACAACCTTCAGGGACTTTTCCCTAAAGGAGCAGAATGGGCCAGGCTAGTCTCGAACTCCTGACCTCAAGCGATTTGCCCGCCTTGGCCTCCCAAAGTGCTGGGATTACAAAGTGAGCCACTGTGCCTAGCCTGAGTCAGTTTTTTAAAATAAAGAAAACTTGTGGATTTCATCAAATGCTTTATCTGCATTTACTGAGACGATCATGTGGTTTTATCTCTTATTCAATAATATGATGTACTGCATTGATTGATTTTGGATATTAAACCAACATTGAATTTTTGGGTTAAATCCCACTTGGTTTATAATCCTTTTGCTGGATTCCTTTGCTTGTATTGTTGAGGACTTTTATGTCTGTGTTCATAAAAGACATTGGTCTATAGTTTCTTTTTTTGTGATGTCTTTGTCTAGTTTTGGTATCAGAGATAATCTTGCTTCAGAATGAGTTGAGAAGTGTTCTCGCCATTTCTATTTTTTAAAGGGTTTGTGAAAGATTGTTATTAATTCTTCTTTAAGTGTTTGTTAGAATTCATCAGTGAAGCCATCCGATTCTGGGCTTTTCTTTGTAAGAAGTTTTTTGATCACTGATTGAATCTTTCTCTTTGTTACAGGTCTATTCAGATTTTTGACTTCTTGAATCAGTTTTGGCAGTTGTGTCTTTCTAGGAATGTGTCCATTTCACCTATGTTATCTAATTTGTAGGCATACAATTGTTACTAGTGTTTCCTTTTAATCCTTTTCATTTTTTTAAGGTTGCTAGTGATGTACCTTCCTTTCAGCCCTGATTTTGGTAATTTGAGACTCCAGTGTTTTTCTTGGTCAGTCTAGTTAAAGGTTTGTCAGTTTTGTTGATCTCCTCAAAGAATCAACTTTTGGTTTTGTTGATTTTCTCTACTGTTTTTCTATTTTCCATTTCATTTCTTTCTACCCTGATTTTATGATTTTTTTTTCTTTTGCTTGCTTTGGGTTAAGTTTGCTCTTATTTTTCTAGTTTCTTTTATTTTTTAATTTTTATTTCATATTTATTTATTTACTTATTTATTTGAGACTGAGACTGGCTCTGTCACCCAGGCTGGAGTGCAGTGGCACGATCTCGGCTCACTGCAACCTCTGCCTCCTGGGTTCAAGCGATTCTCCTGCCTCAGCCTCCCGAGTAGCTGGGATTACAGGCGCCCACCACCACACCCAGCTAATTTTTGTATTATTAGTAGAGAGGGGGTTTCACCATGTTGACCAGGTTGGTCTAGAACTCCTGACCTCAGATGATCCGCCCGCCTTGGCCTCCCAAAGTGCTGGGATTGCAGGCATAAGCCACCGTGCCTGGCTACTCTCCTTCAATTTTTTTCTTTTTTTTTTGAGACGGAGTCTCGCTCTGTTGCCCAGGCTGGAGTGCAGTGGTGAGATCTTGGCTCACTGCAACCTCCGCTCCTCCAGGTTTAAGCAATTCTCTGCCTCAGCCTCTGGAGTAGCTGGGATTACAGGCGTGTGCATGCCACCATGCCCGGCTAATTTTTTGTATTTTTTTTTTTCAGTAGAGACCATCTTGGCCGGGCTGGTCTTGAACTCCTGACCTTGTGATCCACCCGCCTCAGCCTCCCAAAATGCTGGGATTACAGGCATGAGCCACTGCACCCGGCCTCAATTTTCAAAGATAGTTTTGCCAGGTATAGATTTCTTTGTTGATAGTTTTTTTCCTTTTGTCATTTATTGAATATGCCATCCTACTGCCGTTTGGCTTTCATGGTTTCTGATGAGAAACCAGTTGTTAATATTATTGAGCATCCCTTTTCTGTGATATGCTATTTCTCTCATGATGCTTTCAAGATTCTTTTTTTTTTTTGAGACAGAGTCTCACTGTGTTGTCCAGGCTGGAGTGCAGTGGCATGATCTTGGCTCACTGTAATCTCTGCCTCCCAGGTCCGAGAGATTCAAGCAACTCTCGTGCCTCAGCCTCCTGAGTAGCTGGGACTATAGGCACGCCTGGCTAGCTTTTGTATTTATTTATTTATTTTTTTTAGTAGAGATGGGATTTCACCATGTTGGCCAGGCTGGTCTTGAATTCCTGACCTCATGTGATCCTCCTGCCTTGGCCTCCCAAAGTGCTGGGATTACAGGCGTGAGCCACCATGCCTGGCCAAGATTCATTTTTTTTGCTTTTAGCAATGCAACTATGATGTGCTTAGGTATGTATCTCTTTGAGTTTATCATCCTTGGAGTTTGTTGAGCTTCTTAGATGTGTAGATTAATGGTTTTCTTCAAAATTGAGAAGATTTGGCCATTTTTTTCAAATATTCCTTTGTTTCTTTCTCTCCTCTGCTTCTGGGACTACCATTATGTGTATGTTGGGACACTCGATAGTGTCTTTGAGGCTCTGTTCATTTTCCTTCATTCTTTTCTCCTTCTGTTCCTTAGGCTGGATGATATCAATTGACCTATGTGCAAGTTTGCTGATTCTTTCTTCTGTCGGCCCAAATCTACTGTCGAAGCCCTCTACTGAATTTTTCATTTCAGTTATGGTACTTTGCACCTCCAGAATTTTTATTTGGTTCTTTAAAAAATACTTTTGATCTGTTTATTGATATTCTCCATTTAGAGGGACATGATTCTCATGCTTTCCTTTATTTCTTCAAACATGGTTTCCTTTAGTTTTTTGAACATATTTATAATAACCAATACTACATCTCTAGCAAGTACATCTGGGTTTCCTCAGGGATAGTTTCTATTGACTGTACTTTTTCCTTTTTTACTGCCCTACTTTCCTGTCTTCTAATTTTTTGCTAAAAATTGGACATCTAAACTAATCTAATGTGGCTACTCTGGAAATCAGATCCCTCTTCTCCTTTCCAGGATTTGTTGTTGTTGCTGTTTATTGTTGTTGCTCTCCGTTGAGGGCCTTTCCTGGACTAATTCTTTAAAGTGTGTCTTTTTTGTCATGTGCAGCTACTGACTTCTCTGCTTGTTTAGCTTAGTGGTCAGGTTAGACAGAGATTTCCTTGAATGCCTTGATCCAACGTCTCCCACTCTGTGCTGGCGGGCTGTGTGTGCTGGAGCACAGCTTCAATCCACCTCTGTGTGCGCCGGAGCACGGCTTCAATGCTGCACCTGTGTGTGCGCCGGAGCACAGCTTCAATGCTGCACCTCGCACAGCACAGCTTCAATCCACCTCTGTGTGCGCCGCAGCACAGCTTCAATTCACCTCTGTGTGCGCCGAAGCACAGCTTCAATGCTGCACCTCTGTGTGCGCCGGAGCACAGCCTCAATCCACCTCTGTGTGTGCCGGAGCACAGCTTCAATCCACCTCTGTGTGTGCTGGAGCACGGCTTCAATGCTGCACCTCTGTGTGTGCCGCTCTGTGTGTGCCGGAGCACGGCTTCAATGCTGCACCTCTGTGTGCGCCGGAGCACGGCTTCAATCCACCTGTGTGTGCGCCGGAGCACAGCTTCAATGCTGCACCTCTGTGTGTGCTGGAGCACAGCTTCAATCCACCTCTGTGTGCGCCGGAGCACAGCGTCAATCCACCTCTGTGTGCGCCGGAGCACGGCTTCAATCCACCTCTGTGTGCGCCGGAGCACGGCTTCAATCCACCTCTGTGTGCGCCGGAGCACGGCTTCAATCCACCTGTGTGTGCGCCGGAGCACGGCTTCAATCCACCTGTGTGTGCGCCGGAGCACGGCTTCAATCCACCTGTGTGTGCGCCGGAGCACGGCTTCAATCCACCTCTGTGTGTGCCGGAGCACGGCTTCAATGCTGCACCTCTGTGTGTGCTGGAGCACGGCTTCGATGCTCCACCACATTACAACTCTGCCTTTGTCTTCATTTCCTGCTTGAACAATCTCAAGGTCAGCCAGAGGTGAGAGACTGGGGCTCCAAGACAGGTTTTTAATGGACATGTACATAGCTGATGTGCCTTCCAGATACCCTAGAATAAGCTGGAGCTTTTCAAAGCTCCTTTGAACATCTCATTCCCTATATTTTTATTGTAAGTTTTCAAGTCATCCACTGGTGTTATCACCTCAAGCAGCTTCAATGTTCAACAATTGCTGCTGATTATTTTTGTTAAGCATCCTGGGGACAGGGCTCTTTGTTCTAAGCAAGCTGTGCATAGGTCACTTAAAGACAAGCCTTGGGTATGGTGCTTTTCCATGGAGCTGCCAGACAAGTCAAATAGTGACAGTTCTCTGGGGATGAGCATTTGCAAGCTTCAAACCTGTTCTGCTTCCTCCAAGTGGCTGCTAGTTTTCACAAACAAGTACTGTGGTTGTGACACTGCTGTTTGTTTGTTTGTTTTTTCCTGACAGAGTCTAGCTCTGTTGCCCAGGCTGGAGTGCAGTGGTGCAGTCTCAGCTCACTGCAACCTCTGCCTCCTGGGTTCAAGCGATTCTTGTGCCTCAACCTCTGAGTAGCTGGGACTACAGGTATGCACCACCATGCCTGGCTAATTTTTGTATTTTTAGTAGAGATGGGGTTTCACCATGTTGGCCAGGCTGGTCTCAAACTCCTGGCCTCAAGCAATCTACCTGCCTCGGCCTCCCAAAGTGCTGGGATTACATGTGTGTGCCATGCATGGTTTTTAAAGCTGGTTTTTAAGGCTACCATGAGCTTGAGAGAGGAGAAAATTAAAATGCTACAAATCTTACTGTTCTTGTTAAGAGCAAAATTCAGATATTTCCTGAATAAACATTTCTTGGGCTGTGGCAAAACTTCTGTTCATTTCCAGAGTTCTGAAAAGGTCCATCTTCCCCCTTGTTTTTGCTCCTTTATGGAGAAGATCTTTAGAAGTCCTCATTCCGCCATTCCAGAAGTGCTTCTTCCACTGGATTTTTAGAAAGAGTTTCTTGGGATCAGGGCAGATAAAAGACTCTAGCACAGACACTGTTGCCCGAAGGCTAGCAGCTGCGGAGACCCGGGAAGTGCCTCCGTTTGTCTCTGTAGGTTTGTGTAGGCACTGGCCAAGCAGTCTTCTGTGATCTTCATTTGCCCACAAGTGCCTCTTTCTCTCTCCCTTCTCTCCTCCTTCCCATCAATAAGCATTTATGGACCATCTCCTGAGTGGGGGCCTAACCTGCCCTGAGGAGCCCATGCTTTGGTGGAGAAGCAGGACAACTCTGCAGACCAGGCCAACACCTCAGGTGTGGGAAGCGCTGAGATGGAGGGAGGTGTCCAGGGCTGCGAGAGAAGGGGAGAGTGATGGACACTCTTGGGGATAAGAGGGTCTGGGAGGAGAGAGGATCCTCCAAAGCCCTTAGAAAGAAAGATGACTCCAGAGTGCAGGCACAGTTCTGGGATTCTCCAGCTAAGAAGCCAGCCAGGGGAAGGTGGGAAATCCATCCCATTTCAGATAGAGACATAGAAACACTGCAGGACTGTGGAGCTCCTGCTGGGAACTAGGGAGGCTACTGCACTGAAGGCAGGCAGGATCACCCTATCTGCAGGCCTGCAGCGGCCTCAGGGAGGAATCCCAGCCGGGCACTGCCCTACCTGGCAAAAAAGAGCCTTTCTCTGTGGGCGCGGTGGCTCACGCCTACAATCCCAGAGCTTTGGGAGGCCAAGGCGGGCGGATCACTTGAGGCCAGGTGTTCAAGACCAGCCTGGCCAACGTGGTGAAATCCCCCGTCTCTATTAAAAATACAAAAATTAGCTGGGCGTGGTGACGCGTGCCTGTAATCCAGCTACTGAGGTGGCTGAGACATGAGAATCGCTTGAATCTGGGAAGCAGAGGCTGCTGTGAGCTGAGATTGTGCCACTGCACTCCAGCCTGAGTGACAGAGCGACTGTCTCAAAAAAAAAAAAAAAAAAAAAAAAAAAAGGCTTTCTCCCAAGAGACACAGGAAAAAGGCCTCCGGCCTCCTTATACAAGGGAAGGCATGAAAGCCAGGATGTGCATATGTGTGTAACTATCTAGAAATAAACTCAAGGCCCAGACAAGGCCCATCAGAGAGGCACGTCTGTTCTGTGTAGCTCACTTTGTTTTTGGATAGGCAGACAATCGGGACACCACACTGGAAAAACAATGAGGGGGAGGGATCCTGCCCACCCCTTGGCCAGCAGCTGGCCTCTGGCAAGGTACTGTACCCCTTGGAGCCTCAGTTTCCTCATCAGCAAGTGGGTATAATAACATATTCTTATCTTGCAGTGTCTGAGGATCGCATGAGATAAAGGACTTGAAAGAGCCCAGCACGGGGCCACGGACCCAGTGAGTCTATCTTTCCTTGACTTTGAGGTTGTTTTAAACTTGAGTCATAAGTTAAATGGATTTTGGAGTAAGCTGAATAATATCATACTTTGTCCTAAAAAAATGACTCTGTGTTCCTCATCTCCTTCCAAAAAGCATGTCAGGAACTTATAATAAAAGGCAATAAAACCCTTTACGAGGGTAGAAAATAAGAGCTGAGTAATAAAGTGTGTATTTGGCAGGGTCTCGGGTGATTACACACAGAAGCCAGGCTAAAGGAAGCTCCAGCCATTGAACTCAAAACAGGCTTCAGCTTCCAGAAGTCAAGGCAGAGAGAGAAATGAAGGGTGCTTCTTGCCGGTGAGCGCTAAGGAGTGTATCTGGAGGGTCTCTGCGTAAGGAACTCGACACTGCAAACCAGTGGAACAAGGAGGCAGAAAGCCTGCGCCCAGCTCCAGGGAGAAGAGTCTGAGGCCTGGAGAAAACGTGCCACTGCCTCCCCTTGGGCCCAGTTGGCCCGGGGTCCTCTTGGTGGTGAGCCAGCCTGGCTTCGTCACCATGGCCACCTTGTGAAGTTGCTTAGGGGCTGGGCATTCATTCGTTCGCTGTTCTGTGCATTTACATGCCTGGGGGCTGCCCGTGCTGAGTGTGGGGCGATACCTCTTGGACAAAACCATTAGAGGTTTTTTTGGAGGAGATGCTTGAGCTAGGCTTGAAGGACAAAGGGTAATGATCTTGGGGTGGGAGTCCAGGTAGAGGAGGAGATGTTCTGGGTGCGGGAAGACATAAGAGTGAAGGCTCAGAAGGTGGAGAGCCCTGGACATCCATGGTGAGGCTGGAGGTGGGGACATGGCGTGGGGGGTGATGAGAGCTGCAGGAGGTCACGGCAGTGAGAAGAGAGAAGAGGACATGGGTCCGAGACATGGAGAAGGAGGCTCATGGGGACTTGGCGTGGGCAGGGAAGGGATCGAGGATGCAGCCAGGTGTCTACACAGGGAAGCAGGTGGCTAGATGCCTCCTCCCTGTGACGGGGAAGCCCAGGGAAGAAAGCTGGGGGAGATGCTGGCTTCGGCAGGGCAACGTCCAACCTCGGGGACCCGGAGGAGAGGATGTGGCTGGAGGCAGGGAGAGGACATGGTCAGTGTCACAGCAGTGGGAGACTGTGGGAGAGAGGAGAGGAGACGACCAAGGGAGATTCATTCACGGGGCAGGTGGGTCCCGTGAGAATGGCAAAGGAGCCCGGGTCACAGATGAGGGAGGAAGCGCAGGGAGGAAGCGCAGCCCAGACAGCCGGGACTGCCCAGCATGGGGGAGTGGCCAAGGGTGGGGGTCAAGAAAGAGAAAGACAGCAAAGCATCCAGTGTGGCCATCAGAGGTCAGCATGACTTTAGCTAAGACGATGTCAGAGGGGCTTAGGGAAGTCCCTGGGCGAAGGGGGCAATCTGCTGGGGACTGGGTAGGGGGAGTTCTGGGTGAAGCAGAGACAGCAGGAAGGAAGGGTGGTGAATACAGGTGCCTCTGTGGGCTGCAGGGAAGGGAGGTGGGGGAGTCTCCTCCTGGCGGCTCTGCCAAGGAAGGACAGGCCACGTCTGGGGAGGGATGAAACCCACAGGAGAACCCGGTTGTGCTGAAGGACCCATGGGGGAGGGTGTGGCTGGCGGAGTCATCACCTTCTGCCTCAGAGAGAGGGGGCTGCTCTGGAGTGGGGGACTAGGGGCCAACAACGAGGTTCGGGGGATGACTGGGGGCAGAGGGGACAGTCCTGGAATTGTGAATGCCAAGAAGCCCCGGAAAGGCAGTACTGGGTGCTGCGGCCTCAGGAAACGGCAGCTGGACTTGGAAGGGGGAGGAGCACCTGCCCAGGACCAAGGCATGACTCAGGGTGGGCAGCAGGTGGCCAGGCCCTGCAGTCAGAGCCTGGGGCCATGGTGGCTTCCAAGCCTTGGCTTAGGAGCTGAGAAAACCTGGGACTCACCAGGGTCGCCTCTTCTCCCAGGCTTGCCGCGCCGTCCAGGGGGCCCTAGACAGGAAAACAAGAATGCATTCATTGAGAAGGGAAGCCAGTGGACTTGGCTGCGTGGGGCATGCCCCAGCCACCCACCTGTCCGCTCGCAACAGCTTTCTGGGAGTGGCCTGCCCGAGGGGGTCTGCTGGCTGTGGAGGGGGAGATGCGTGGGGAGAAACCCCTTCCTTCTGCCACTACCTCGCCTGTTCCGCCAACCCCCCTCCCCAGGTGGCCGCATCCCTCATGCCCCACGCACCCATTCTGTCATTCAATCATCGGCTCACTCAGTCATTCCTAAGCCCTCCCCTAATCACAAAGATTCCCATGGGAGGCTCCTGAGGCAGATGCGTTTGCAGCTGAGAAACTTCAGACTTAGGAGGAAAGTAAGGGTGGGTTATCTTAGGAAAGCCCTGACAAACGCTGCTTCATATTCACTAAAGTAAAACAACAAAGCCAACACAACAAAGAGGCCATCACGGCCGCGCAGCGCCGAAATCCACTCATGACAGGCACTACACGATCCGCCTGCAGTCTCCGCCACTCGCTGGGGCCTCCAGCTCCTCCTTCCCCAGAGCCAGGGAGCTGCTCAGCCGCCTTCTGGGCTTCCTGTCCACGTCTGTCCTCCATCCGCGCGCTATAAGCCCTTCTGAATTTACGGTGCAGAACCCCCTACCTCCGCCTCTGGCCCTCTGCCCACATCAGACCCTGAGACCAGAGTAACCTCAGCGCTGAAGGAGACGCTTTGACTCTGGCCGTGGGAGCAGAGGTCTGAGGCCTCCCTCTCCCTCCCCTCACCTCTGTGGCGCTCACTGCCATCCTTCCTGGCGCCCCTTCTCGCCCCTGTTTCAGTGAAGTTGGGTGCAGGTACAAGATTGCAATGTGTAAATGGCATTTGATACGTCTTGCTCACCCACTGTATGCCAGGATCTGGGCTGGGCCTGGAGGCGACAGTGGGACAGGTTGTGACCCTATGACAAGGCACTGCCCTTTCCTGCAAAAGCCAACCTCAAACCCCGTCAAGAATTTCCAGAACAACCACGAAGGAGATGCAGGAGACTGGCCCCGATCGCGTCTGTGGCAGGATGGAAAAATGAGTGTGGGTGTCTGTGTGTGTCTGTTTGCATGTGTCTGTGTGTGTCTCTATGTATGTGTGTTTGTGTGCATGTGTGTGTCTGTGTTTTTGTGTCTGTGTTTCTGTGTGTGTGTCTGTGTATGTATGTTTGTGTCTGTGTGTCCTGTGGGAGGTGCTTCTCGACTTTTGTTAAGGGAAGGGGAGGAGGGAGGGCCAGTCTCTGAGAAACAGCGAGAGAGAAGAGATCCCTTCAGGTGGAGAGGGGCCCTCAGTGCTACACGACACGTCAAAAGATTTGCAGGCCCAGGGGTGAGGCGAGAATGAATTTCTTGCCAGCCTCAGGGACAGGGGACTTGAGGTGAGGATTGTTAAACAAAACTTAAAAATGAAAAACATGTTACTTCTTGCTCCCCTGAGTTTTAAGGGCAAAAGTGCATGCCAGGGACGTAGCCCTTGGTTTTCTCCCATCCTGGACACAGACCCTGAATTTGGGGTTTATGCTGGAATTGCCAGGGGCTGTGTTGAGCTGGTGAGGCTAGGACTCTGGGACCCTCAGAACAGACAACAGCTCCTCATACTGTGTGGGTTTACAGCTTATGAGGCACCTCCAGGCCCATGCTCCTGGCCGAGGCCTGCGACACCCACACTGTCCGGCCAATTACCTTCCTATCTCCACGTGCTTGTCCCACCAGCATCTCAGACCAGTTGTGGCCCAAACACCTGCCTTGGTCTCCTCCCCAGTGCCCTGTGCGGGGCTGATGGTGCCTGGGAACCTCCAGAGCCAGTCACACCGGATGACTGGCCCTGGTTATTAACTAAGCCCCAGGTTTGGGGGGCAGGTCAGCACTCTCGGGGGGGGCTTTCCTCCTCTCTGGGCCTGTTTTCAATGAGAGCGAGGTACGGGAACGGGAGCCCCCCGGCACACGCAGCACCATGTTCCTCGGGCTGTAGGAGGAAGAAGGCCCAGTGGCCACCCACAAAGCTTCGGGGCTCTTGCCAGGCCTCAGGTTGTGCTCGGCCCAGCGAAGCAGTAGGCCCCGGGCCCCAGGCAGAGTGAGGGGGCATGGCAGGAAAGGGGCCAGGAATGGGGGAAGTAGCCAGACTCTGCTAGATCCGAAGCAATGCAGCACTGTGCTTTCCTGATGGGAATCACTGGGTACGACTAGGAAGTTCTCCGTCTGGGTAACTGAAGCCAGATGAAGACATCTGCCTGTGTTGGGGCAGCTGAACTAACGGATTTGTCTGGTGGCTCTCCTGGGTGGCATGGTTAGGCAGAGGCTGATGGGGAGGGATGCTGGCAGGGTGGGCAGCTGCCCAGGCAGGGTAGGGTGCCTGCCTCCCAGGGTCACTGGGCGATGCCCCCTGCAGGCCTGGAGCTGGGCAGGACTGGGGTGTTGCTGAGCATACAGGGCCTGTGAGCCGCAGGCCAGGCAGGCTGGATGTGACCCCGACTGAATAGGGCCCTCGTGGAGGGAGAGAATGAAGCTGGTCATGCACACTCCTGAGGGCTGATCCTAACCAGGCACGGTGCTGGGGGCGCCATGTGACCGACTTGCAGATGGACAAGCGGTCTACCCTTTATTCTGAGCTCTGTACCTAAATGTCCAACTCCACTGGGAGGCACCACTTCCAAACTCAAGCTCACCTCCCGACTTCCCACGCGCCCCCTGCCTCCCTTGTTACTTACCTGCAGGTCCCAGCAGCACCCAAGCAGTCAAGCCAGAGACCCCCCCCCGGGCATCATCCTGCCCCAGCCCCCAACCTGGACCCCTTCCTTCTCAGCATCAGGCGAACGCTGCCCCTGCACTCAGTCCCCCACTCTGCCACTCGCTCTGCTGTGCTCGATTCTCCCTCCTGGCACAAAGGACCTCCTGCAGTATGTACTCTGCATCTCAGGCAGCTCTGTGTCCCCAACTCCCACTGCAGGACACGACCAAGTGATGTGTGTTCAGGGGAGGAAGGGCGGGGGGGAGAGGGAGGGAGGGAGAAGGGGACAGGCAGGGAGGCCTCAGGTCTCCTCACTGCTTCTGGGATTCTCCTGAAAAGACTGCAAGTCCAGCAAGCTCCAGGGCTTAGGAGAGACACAGGGCCACCTGGTCTGATGTGACGTGCCAGTGAGATAGGGAGTGCCTTCCACCCTTCCTTTCCCGGACTGCGAGAAGACAGGCGGTGAGGCCCTGGGAGAGGGCGAGTGTGCCGGAGCTGCACTCCCTGCTGACTGTGGGCTCCCACTCCACTGCTTCCACCAACAGAGAGGCCAGGCGGGCTTGGAGACTGGATTGCAGGAGCCGCAGGAGTGGGGGCAGGACGGACGGCCTCTCCTGAGTCTCTGGACTATCAGGTGCCGAGAGCCCACCATGGGCAGTGACCTGGGTTCAACATCTACTGGGTGCCAAGCCGGCTGCTCACCCAGTGAGCATGAACTTGGGACCCTTTTCCTCCAGGACTCCCTGTGCCCGCCCCGCAGGCTCACCTTCTGCCTCGCCAGTCCTCTGAAGAAGGTGCTAGTGTTCCCTGCACAGATGAGAACTCTGGGGCTAAGCCAGGTGAAGGGGCCCACCTAAGGCTGTGTTGCTAGAGCCTCCTGGAGCCCTTCATAGTCTGTGGCTCCCAAGTGCAAGGACAGTTGTGTCCCATATGCTGAGCTACCGGGCAGGCGGCCTTGGCGACCAGGGAGGCTGTTCCTCTGGGGATGTGGTCCCTTTGCTGGGGCTGGCTGTGCCCCAGGGCATCTGGGCCTGGTGTGGAGCAGGTTGCCCCGGCCCCTGGGAGAGCAGGGCCAGCTTGGCTGCAGCTAAGACCTGGCTCCAACAAGCAAAACCAGGCCTTTGGCCAGGTGGTTGGCCTCAGAGTTTTTGCTTGTTTCTTGTTTTTCTTCTTTCTACAAGCAGAAGAACCTTTCCTGCTGCTGCCTGAGACTCAGACACTCAGGAAGGCACTGGGAGTCTGTCTTGATTGATCTGCTCATGTGGAGAAGGGGAAACTGAGGCTGCAAGGGATAGGACAGGTCTTGCCCACGGATGCTGCTGGAAAACTTGTCCCAGCTAGAGGGTCTAGCGCTGAAGACCACCTTGGGCTGGGAGAAGGCCACTGTCCCCCACTCTGCATGGGACCCACACGGCTCTGAGCTAGGGGCTGGCTGCTGGGGAACGACAGTATTTCACCGTGGGTGCCACCACAGTGGCATCTGCAAAACTTCTTTTCAGAGGCTGGGGCGAGGGGTATGCCAGAGCAGGAGGGGAAGAACCTGACTGGTGGGGAAGCTGTGTCTTCTGAGCAACTTACTCAACCTCATTGAACCTTAGAGTTTCCAACTCGGGAGGATAGAGGTTTGGGAGTGGTGGCAACTAGACTTGCCTTGCGGAATCATGAACCAGATGAGCTGGCAGCAGACACACCAGCCTGGGGTACAAAAGGGGTGCTTCTTTGGGACCCCAAGAAATAACTGGCTGCAGGGGCCTCTGGGCCATCACAATGCGGGGCTTTAATGTAAGTGGGTTCTTTCCTCTGTGTGTGTGTGTGTGTGTGTGCGCGTGTGTGTGTGTGTGTGTGTGTAATGCGGGGCTTTAATGTAAGTGGGTTCTTTCGTGTGTGTGTGTGTGTCAGGGTCTCACTCTGTCACCCAGGCTGGAGTGGCGTGATCACAGTTCACTGCAGCTTCACACGTCTGGGCTCAAGTGATCATCCCACCATGGCCTCCCAAAGCGTTGGGATTATAGGCCTGAGCCACTGTGTAACTGTTTTTTGTTTTGTTTTGTTTTGTTTTTTTTTTGAGACGGAGTCTCACTCTGTTGCCCAGGCTGGAGTGCAGTGGCGTGATCTCGGCTCACCGCAACCTCCGCCTCCCAGGTTCAAGCGACTCCTCTGCCTCAGCCTCCCGAGCTGCTGGGACCACAGGCACGCGCCACCATGCCTGGCTAATTTTTGTATTTTTAGTAGAGACCGAGTTTCACCATGTTGGCCAGGCTGGTCTCGAACTCCTGACCTCAGGTGATCCACCTGCCTCGGCCTCCCAAAGTGCTGGGATTACAGGTGTGGGCTACCGCGCCCGGCCTGCGTAACTGGTTCTTATGAGTCCCCAGGTGGGTGAAGCTGGAGACACAGTGACTGCACCTCAGCAACACTGCAGGCAGGTTCGAGGTGCTGAGACGCCGACGGAGCCCTTGACTGCACTTTGAGCAAAGTGCAAGGGCAGCCCCGTGGGAAGCCGGGAGCTTTCCCGTGTCCCTAATCACTGCCTGTCTGTGAACCTCTGGATGAGAATGCAGAGGCTGAGCTCTTTGGGAATGAGGTTTCTCAATGAAATTTCAGGGTGCCAGGTCTAGCACAGGCCAGCCAGGGCTCCAGCTCGTTGCCCAATGACTCTGGACGTCTGAGAGCAGCATCAGCACAGTAAACAACTCCAGGGAGGCCTACGGCTTTCTCAGCACTGTTGGAGGCCAGACAAAAGGAAACCATTTCTAACTCATAAAAATCTCATCTCTGGTTGGGGTGGAGAACTCACGCCGCTGATCAACTCCAAAGGGGGGCCTCGAACCCCAACAGGCTTCCTCTGAGGCCTGAGCTGCAAGGATTTGGCTCTCTAAGTGGCTCCCCCCGCCCAGCCCTCCCGGCACCTCCCTCCCCAAGGACGTCCCCTCTAGCAATGCCCGTCTTATCAAGGTCCCTTCACAAACCTGCAGCCACCCCACCTCAGCCGCACTGGGGACAGCCTGCCCAGGCCTCTCCCTCTCACCCTACTGGCCTGGCTGCTTCCTGTGGGCTCCTGACTGGTTGCTCCGCCCTCAGCCCAACCCTGATCCTCCCTTCAGCCAGCCCCTGAGGACAGGGGGTTCATGGAATCCACACAACAGTCTGTGAAGTGCTTTCATTTCTCTCTACTCTTTTCTTCCTATAGATCAGGGGAACTGAGCCCCACAGAAGTCAAGAATTACTACCAGGCGCAACAGCCAAAAGGTGGAAGCAACCCAAACGTCCACGGACAGAAGAATGAGCAAACAGAACGTGCACTGATACAGCGGGACGTGAGTCAGCCCTGGAGAGGAAGGAGTTCCTGCGCACGCTGCAGCATGATGGGCCTGGAGGACGTCACGCGATGGGAAGTAAGCCAGACACAGAAAGACAAATACGGAAGGATTCCACTTCTGGAGGCTCCTGCAGTCGCCAGATTCACAGGGGCAGAAGGTGGAATAGGGGGTGCCATCGGTGGGCTGGGCTAGGGGAGGCGAGACTGGGAAGTCGGTGGGCCCAGAGACTCCGTTTTGCAACATGAAGAGTTCTGGAGAGGGATGGTGGTGGTGACGGGTGCGTGACAATGTGAACATACTGAATGCCACTCAAGTGTACACTTAAGGATGGTTAAGACGGGAAATGTTATGGTATGTGTATTTTATCACAATTAAAGAAAACAAAACAAACACCCCAGGGGTCTCAGCTACCCCTGAGCGAGGCTGTGAGCCGGGCCGTCCTGATGGAGACTGTGGGGATGCTGCTGGCAGCCACAGCAGTGTCCCGTGTGAGGAGCCCGGCACTGTGGAGTCACAGAGGATGGCATCCCCAAGGTCACACAGTGGAGAAATGGCGGAACTGGAACTGGAACCCGGGTCTGTGTGACTTCGGAGTCTGTCCCCTGAACATCTGTGTGTGATTTCCAGTGTGACCATGGCCAAGATTTTCTCATCCCACCACGTGTCGAGTGTCCCTTCAGACCTGGTCCTTCTCAACACCACTGGAAGCCCCTTTATATGACCCTCTTCCCAGAACTTTGGGAGGAAGTGGGGTGAGATGGCCTGAATCCTCCCAGACCTTCAGTCTGGAGCTCTATGAGATTGCTGGGGCTTCAGGGCCATCAGGGGGTGCACCTTGAGCAGAGAAGGCAAGCGAGGTCCCTGGAAAAGAGCTTCCGAGACCAGATCATTAAAACATCTCCCCAGACCATTTCATTTGTTTTACAAGTCTCAGACCAACCTCAGAGCTGAAAACTGCCCAACAAGGGAGCATTCTCTCTGCACATTCCCAGCTTGGCCTCACAAAGCCCTCTGTCCCTTGGAGGAGTGAAGGAGTAGGTGTGTCCCGGTGGGTGTCTCTAAGGTGGGCCTGGGGACCCTACTGCTCCTGGAGGGGACACTGAGACCCGGAGAGGCTGGCCAGCTTGCTCTGGTTCAGCCAGTGCTGCGGGCACTGTGGTCCTCCAGGAATTAAAATCACAGCCTCTTGCTCAACAAATACAGTTCATTCCGAAGCTGCTTACGTCCCCCCCAGAGTCATCTTCCACCATCCATCATGCTGAACCGGGAGCCGAACAGCGCTGGGTCCTGCTGCTTGTGGGAAAGTCCTGAAGCCATCTGGAAAGCCAACACCACAGGCTGCCAGGGTTTTAAGGCACCGCCATAGTCTTCGTCTTCGTCATGTTTGTTTGGAACAACGGTTACTGTCCAGGCTGGTGACAGACCCCGACCACCCCAGTGACCAGAGCTGGTTAAGGTGGCTTGGACACGGTGCCATTCGGTGGATGAATGAATAGGGCCCTGTTAGGAGGGGCTGGGGTGGTAGGTGTCCCCAGTGTCACATTCACAGAGGGCCTCAAATGTGGACATTCATGTGCTCTACAAAGGAGCTGACAGCACCAGATACCAGACAACCACAGCGGCCTGCAACAGTGTTTAATAAAAGCAAGAGCCGCCGGCACCATTTATCGAGTGTCAACTTTACACTTGGCCCCAATCTCGAGTCTACGGTATTAACTCACATATTCCTGACCTCAAACCCATGAGGAAGGCTGTTACTGTTATCTCCATTTTATAGATGAAGAAACTGAGGCACAGGGAGGTTAATGGGCTTTCTGAGGCCGTACGCTGGTAGCCGGTAGAGTCACGCAGTTCTGATTGAGAGTCATGTCCTTAAACACTGCCTGGCTCTCTCTCATTGAAGAAGATACTTATTAAAGGAGAGAGGTTAAATAGTCCACGGTTTTCATAACCTCTTCTTGGCATTTGTTAAGCTGCCCAGGATGTCTCTCAGAGGTCTGTGAATTAAATGTCTAATTACAAGGCCAGTGTGATCGGCAGCCCTGGAGACCCGAGACGACTCCAGCCCCCTTTATGCATAGCATGCCCTCCTTGTGCCATCCAAAATGCCTGCAGTTTCTGGGCTGGTTCCTCTCCCTGAGTTAGGAGCGGATTTAGTTAAGCTTTTCCAATGGGATTAAGGAGTCCGGACCCATGACGCATCCTGGTGACATACCAGCCGTGCTGCAGCCCCAACACACCGTGTTCTCTGGAGCTCCAAGAGCATCTCCCCAAGGGCTCCGGTTGGAGGGCTCAGGCAAGGGGGTGCCCGGTGGGCTGGGGATGGTAGGACCTGCTGACGGGCTGAGCCCAGCAGGCCACGTGCTGGGGGCTTTTACCATCTCCTCAATCCTCTCGAGTAATTCTGAGATGTACAAGATTGGCCCCATTTACAGATAAAAACCCTGAGGCCCACAGGCAAAAGGACCATCCAAGGCTCAGAGCTGGTCAGGCCAGGGCGTTTGCCTGCACCAGTGATGCCCTCCTAAGTTCTTCCTTTTCAGGGAAATGACTGTGGTTTTGGCACCAGAGCTAAACATGGAATGTCCCACCCAGAGGGTGCAACAAGAAGGACGGGAAGGGGCAGGGCACGGGAAGGGGACAAGGGCTGGTCACGGTCTCCGGATCAGACTGTCAGAGCTCTTGTCAGTGCCTCCAGTCAAGGGGCTGAGGTTGCCCAGGGAGGAAAAGCATCAACGTTTTCTAGTAGAAGCACTGACTTTTTTTTTTTTTTTTTTTTTTCAAGACAAATAATCTTTTATTCATAGTCATGGTATCCTCCAGAGAAAATAAACTGATAATTGCTAATAAAAAAACAAGCACTGTATTCCTTGATTAGCTTGATTCCTTTGATTAGATTACAACAATCTTGTAGTCTCAAATTATTACGAGGTAAACAATAGGTTTTATTCACCTACTTTTTAATACAGCATATCTTAGCTGAACATAAAACCCAGAGAATGTATTACTGCGGAAACTGTGTTAAATTTTTTTTCTTCTGAAGCTGTGTGAAGAAAAGTTAGAGAGGTATTTGTTTAAGCAGTTTAAATATAATTCTACTTAGAATCCAACTGGTCTTCACGGATGGTCATTCCAGCACTATAAACTTATGTTATATCCACTAATACACGTTCGTAATTCGATGATTCTTAGATATTTACTTCTAGATAGGAATCAATTAGATAGACCTAAAGAAGTTAGAAAGTATTCTGAAAAACAAAGAAACATATATGAAATACGTCTGGGTTTGTTACCTTCTTAATATAATGTAACCTGTCTAGAGATTTCCAGAATGAAAAACGTAAGGTTGGAATGACTCTTATTAGTTTAATAAGAAAATATGTATCCTATAAAATATTTATGATATACAGAGTTTTAACGAAATTTGAACGATTAAAATTAAGCCTTGGCTGGATTTCATCAAATTCAGTGTGGAGCTTTGGAGACTCATTGAACAGTTCTTTCCTTAGATAATTACCTTGCTTAGAAGTGCTCCTATCCAGACAGAATTCCCGATTTTTTTCACTTACTAAGAGAAGTCTGTGCCTTCATGCCTTTATAAATGGAGTAAAGCATGAATACATTTTCTAGGAAGAGGGATCTTGTTTATTGGAATCAAACTATTTTAACTAGAATTATAGTAAGGAAAAATTCCAACCACAGTGATATTTAAAATGGTTTTATTCTCTTTCTTAGCTTTTATCCATCTCTTTTTGTAAGCCACATACGCTCAAACAAACTAATAATAACAGTAAGATCTAGTTTCAAGGTAGTGGACTGCAACATTGAAGTCTGTGGACTTCTTTGCAAAAAAAAAAAACGTTGCTTGGCATTAACAGTTTTTCTATCAAATACAAAATTCTGAGTGAGTTACATCACTAGAGAGTATACGAGTCTTCCACTCTGGTCGGCTTATTCTATGGAGTGAGACTGATACTACTGCTTATCTCATAGTTTTGTTATGATAGTTAATATTTATTAAAAAACTCAGACTAATGTTTGACACAGTAAATGCTAAAGACATGCTTACAGAATAAATAAATACATTCATAAATAAGTCAGTCTCTGTTCTAGTCATGCCATATTAATTACAATCCACATGCTAGAGTTTGTGATATTCTCTCTGCCTGCTTCCCCACCTGTCTTTCTATTTATTTAAATCCTATTATTCTTCAAGGACTGTGCAGATCCCACCTTTCTAAGCCCTTCAGGACAGACAACTCTGGACTCTACTAACCTCATGTTTCTCCTTCACTCATTTGCACTTATGCACAAATATCCTGTTTGCTTTATTTAGCCTTTACTGTTGGTTGTTAACCAGGCAAGGGCATTAGAATTCCCTGAGTTGCTTTTCTAAAATGTATATCCCTAGGCCAAACCCCTAGAATTGTTAGATTCAGTGAGTCCTGCCTGGCACCAAAACATGCACATTTTGAAAAGGTTCTTCAGCAACACCAATATACGCCACTAGTCAAGATACACTGATCAAAATTACCTTTTGTTGGAGGTATGCAGATTTTCTTTATCAACACAATCATGAACATCTTGAAGACACAGACCATGCTTTGTTTTTCTTATGTAAACATGGCCACTACTGAATAACACTCCTCTTTCATGTTTCATTGTAAGATCTCTGAGAGTGGCGCCCAGGTTATGCCTTGCCAATGGGTTGGGGAGCGTATTAGCCAGTTCTCATGCTGCTAATAAAAACATACCTGAGAATGGGCAATTTATAAAGAAAGAGAGGGTTAATGGACTCATGTGGCTGAGGAGGCCTCATAATCATGGCAGAAGGTGAAAGGCACATCTTACATGGTGGCAGGCAAGACAGAATGTGAGCCAAGCAAAAGGGGAAACCCCTTATATAAAACCACGAGATCTCGATGACTACCACAAGGACAGTATGGGGAAAACCACCCCCGTGATTCAATTATCTCCCAATGAGTCCCTCCCACAATACGTGGGAGTTATGGGAGCTACAGTTCAAGATGAGATTTGGGTGGGGACACAGCCACACCGTATCAGGGAGGGACAAAGAGAGCCACAGGTAGATCATTCAACTGTTGCCACAATTATGCTATGTCATGAATAACCACAAATCTTCAGTGATCTACCAAAAAAGGCCCTCTTGTTCATGTTTCCAGAATCCGCAGGAATAGGCTAGGCACCTGTGCTGGGTTTTCTCACACATTTGTGGGGTCAGAAGCACTGCCTTTTGAAAGCCCCCAGCCTTCGGTGCCTTCCAGCAGAGACTTAAAGGGAGAGGTACTGACTGGGACTCCTTTTGATTGGCAGATGTAAGGCACGTGGGTGCCACGATGGGGAGCTAAGCCACAGGCCATTTCTCAGGCCTGGCAGAGCCCCTCCCCAGACCCTTCGGCCCAGGCAGCTGAAGGGAGGACTGAGCAAAACCGATGGGAAGAGGGGAAAGCCCCTCAGCGTGCCTGAGACTACGACCCTTCCTGCCCACAGGGGCTCAGAGCCATGAGAACATCTCTGAAGGGCCGAAGGGGCCGGACTAGCCAGCAGACCTGGACAGGAAGGGGAGGGGTGGGGCGACTCCAGAAAGGGGCTTTCGGCCGGGCGCGGTGGCTCACACCTATAATTCCAGCACTTTGGGAGGCCGAGGTGGGTGGATCACCTGAGGTCAGGAGTTCGAGACCAGCCTGCCCAAATGGCGAAACCCCATGTCTAATGAAAATACAAAAAATTAGCCGGGTGTGGTGGCGGGCGCCTGTAACTTCAGCTACTCGGGAGGCTGAGGCAGGAGAATTGCCTGAATCTGGGAGGCAGAGGTTGCAGCGAGCCGAGATTGTGCCACTGCACTCTAGCCTGGGCGATACAGCAAGACTTCATCT